>NC_000007.14:49937211-50240242 GCF_000001405.40 Homo sapiens
TAGTAAAGATAAAACAGAATATTTCTGAAAAATCCTGGAAAATCTTTTGGGCTAACCTGAAAACAGTATATTTGAAACTATTTTTAAAATGCAGTGATACTAGAAATATTTTAGAATCATATGTAGGTTTGGCATTAATGGATAAAGACTAGAGGATTTTCATCCTCATAAAACATTTGGACATACAGTATTTGATTAAAATGATGACACATTTTTTTGTAAAATATGATTAATTTTGGCATAATAATTTATTATGTTAATATTTCAAATATATACTTTGCATTTAATAAACCACTGAATAACTGAAGATAATGGCTTATAAGCACGTTTTTGCTCCATACACCAGGCTGCTATTGCATTGAAGGCAATGAATTCCATCACGGGGGTTATATGATCCAGGGCTGCAGATCACTGTGAAAAAAGAGTAAGTTAATAAGTAGTATTTTCCTAATACACATAATATAAAATTTCCAATCTCAATTCTTTTAAGTGTATAGTTCAGTAGTATTAAGCATATTCACACTGTTGTGCAACAAATCTGCAGAACTTTTTCATCTTGCAAAACTGCAACTCTATACCCATTTCCCTGTTTCCCCAGCTGTTGGCAACCACCATTCTACCTTTGGTTTCCATGAGTTTCACTAATCTACATACCTCGTGTAAGTGGAATCATACACTGAAAGTTTTAATTATTTACTCTGAGATTCCTGTAAGGAGCGTGAAACCTGGATCCCTTGCATGCATGCACAGTTGACAATAGGGTTGGTACTCCTATGAGAATCTAATGCCATTGATGACCTGACAGGAAGCAGAGCTCAGGCCATAATGCTCACTTGCCCGCCACTCACCTTCTATTTTGCAGTCTGGTTCCTAACAGGACATAGACCAGTACTGTTCCCTGGCCTGGGGGTTGGGGACCCCTGCTTTAAGTTATATAGCAGAAGCCACAAGAGGTCAACACTACAGGAAGAACCAAATGTGCTTCACACATGGCCATAACTGTGTATTTTAGGTGGAAAGAGACTGCATTTTTTTCTAATAATCTCCTGATTTCAAGTCCTATTTCTACCACTTGCTAAATGTGCAATTTTGAAAATATTAATCTAATTTAATTCAGTTTGATCATCCCTAATATGAGGATAATGAAATCATGAATTTGATTAAATGATGACATCTACTACTGCCTGACAGAATAGAAAGAAACCAAGGTCAGATACCATCTCTGTCACAGATTATCTTTGGTAACTTAGGTAAAACAGTCAACTCTCTTAGTTCCACTATCCTTATTTTGTAAAACAGGTGCAATACAATAATAACCAATTTCATAACATTAATGTATTAAAAAATCACACAGTGTATCATAGGCACTCAATAAATGCTTAACTTTATGCACTCAGGAACACTGCCTCTACCAACCTGTTCTATTGTGGATAAGGGGATGGCTATCAGGTGGTGCCATCAAGCCTCATAATTGGGCTGGGGTCTTTGATTATTCTGTTCCTCTTTTTCCTGTTGCAAATGTGGTTGCCCAAGGATCTCAGAATATGTTAATAGCACATCTATGGAATGTTTATTATGGGCCATCAAAGAAAATTCTTTTTCTAGCATCATGATTCAATGATACAAGTTAATATTTGGATCTAGTTCACACTATATTTTAAATTTTATATCATTTACTTTTAAAATGTATTTTTCCAAATTGGGAAATATTTTACCATTTTTTAGAGGAAATATTTGCCATTCTATGTTCCAAAGAGTTCCTCAGTTTTAATAGATGTTTTATTTGGGAGAATAATGTTTCAGATGGAAAAAAGTTTAATTAAACAAAGTAGATTTATTTCCTCCAGTGATAACAACAGTATTTGAATTGGTAATGTACACAGTAAGCTTCCAATGATGTTTCTCAAAAGTGTGTTGATTATGGCACATTTTCTCTCAAAGCACACCTTAATATTTATTGAAGAACAAATATGGAAATGTTGAGCAAAGATACTAAAAGTGTTAAATCATTACACATGCAGAAGAGAAATCTGCATGCAGTCTTTACACATATGCTTTATATTGATTATCAAAAATAGAAATGACACCAGCATAAAATCATCTAAATACAAGCTTAAATAAATATGACTTTCTAGTTACTATTCTTAGAATTAATAAACCGTCACAGTATGACATGTGTAACATCATATAGTTCCTATGTGTAGCACTCCTTCCTAGTATACATACTAAAATATTTTTTCTCTGTTAAGTAGAACTGGGGAAAAATGTTAAAATGTTATTTAAATTTAAAGTACAAAATTAGCCAACTCTTTAAACAAAGAGACAAAGAAGGATTTGTGACTAATCAGTATTGACATAAAAAACATGATAAAGTACAAAAAAAAGTTATGAACTTTGGATAGGAAATAATTTCTTAAAAAGGAAAATGCACTAACCATAATGTAAAACATTTAATATTAAAATTAAGAAATTAATTTTAAAAATCATAAAAGTAACGATTGTGTAAAATAAAACTGTGGAAAGACTCTCCAAGCAAGATGGACTCCCTGAGGCTAACAGAGATGCTTCAAATTTGAAAAGAGAAGTAGGCATTCATAGTGAGGTGAGAGGCTGGTGAGTGGTCACATACTTTGTGTTTCTCTGAAGAAAATACAGCCTTTGACAACAAACTTTCTGCCTGTACAACTCCAAGCTGGAGTATCTCCTATAACCAAAAACTGAACATTCCATAACTGACCATCTGAAAATCTTCAATGAAAAGGGATTTGTGGTCTCAAACTTGTAGGCAACCCAATCACTCTGTTGCCTCAACCAATCAGAGCTTGGCTACATCAACCAACAGGAACCGAACAAGTTTGAATCCCTCCTTTTCATAAACAGACATGATTGGGAACATGGGTAGGAACTTTATGAAAGCCAAACCCTCTCTTTGTTCTCTGCAGTGCACCTTCAGTTATACCAAAGGCTGTGTCTCCCAATTCTATCCATTGCTTCTCAGAAAATATAAGCTTTCCTTTTGGCCTTTGCAGATCTCATGGTCTTTTGTTAACGACAGTCAAGGAATAAAATTCGGAAAAAAATTGTAGCTATATAATCAACAGAAGAATATTATTCAGAATATATAATTAACTCATATAAATCAATTAGAAAAACAAATAAAAACTAATTTAAAAGTAGGCACCAAGGAGAAAATACAAATGGTGAACTAATGGCTTTTTTTGTTGAGCCAACAAAAGAGTACTCAAATTAGATCTAGGAAATCCAGATAGACATCAGAATGTAATACATTGAGAGTGAGATGCAAGAACTTCCAGTGAACTAGGAAGCTCCAGGCCCTCATTCCCCCATGAAAACATTAAATAAGTAACTAGAGACTGGCTAAAATAACTTTACAAGAGCTATGGAAACCAGCCATAGGTCTACAGCAATTAAGTTCTGAATCCAAAAAAAAAAAAGCTGTGTTTGAAATGATTAAAAAAAAAAAATTGTGGCATTTTTACTCACCACTGTCCCACCTCCTTCCCCATGCAGCTCTGGAAGATTCCATCCTACACAACTGAGAGAACAGAGCAGACTAAATTTATGACCTTCTGACCTGTATGAGAGTCCCATGCCTGTGGGATTGGTTTGTGATGGGTGCAGTTCCTGAAAACCACAAGGAGACAACAAAGGGGAACATAGGTGGGGCAAGAGATTTCCTGAAAAATATAACATAACATGTAAAGCCCAGAGAAGCAGCAGGAGTGAGCCTCTTAGAGAAGAAGATATCTAAAAGCAGCCATGTATACAGAGGATTCAGAAAAAAAGCACATGCTCAGGACCAAGCATAAGAAAAGATGTTCCACATCACTAAGCGTAAGAGAAAAACAAATCAAAGCTACAATGAGATATCAGCTCACAACCATTAGCACAGACACTATTTAAAAAACAGAAAATATTTATTGGTCATGATGTGGAGAAATTGAAATCATACTTGGTGGAAATGTAAAATGGTGAAGCTACTATGAAAAACAATACAGAGCTTCCTCAAAAAATTAAAAATAGAATTACCATGTGATCAGTTAATCCTGCTTTTGGGTATATATCCAAAAGTATTGAAAGCAGGATCTCTAGGAAGTATTGCATATCCATGCACCCATGTCCATTGTCACATTATTCACAATGGCCAAAAGGTGGAAACAACTCAGATTTTCACTGAGAGATGGGAAAAGTGTTAGATCTGATAAATTCAGCAAAGTAGTAGGATACAAAATTGATACACAAAAATCAGTTATGTTTGTGTACATTAACAATAAACAATCCAAAAGGGAAATTAGGAAAATAGTTCCATTTAAAATACAATCAAATAATATTTAGGCATAAACTCAACCAAGGTGGTGGAATAATGTATACTATAAATTACCAAAAATTGTTGAAAAAAATTCAAGAAGACACAAATAAATAGAAAGACATATCATGTTCATGGGTTGGAACACAATATTAAAGTGTTAACACCACACAAAGCTATTGATTCAATGCAATCTCTATCAAAATCCCAATAACATTTTTTTTTGTGAAAAACAAAAATCTTTCTCAAGAGACTCCAAATAGCCAAAATATTGAAAAAGAAAAACAAAGTTGAAAGTCTCACATTTCCTGATTTTAAAACTTACTACAAAGCTGCAATAATCAAAACAGTGTGGTGCTGCCAAAAAGACAGACATACAGACTAATGGAACAGAATAGAAAGCCCAGTAATAAATCCTTGCATACAGGGACAAATGATTTTCACAAAGGATGCCAAGATCATTCAATGGGGAAAGAACAATTTTTTTCACCCAATGGTATTGGGAAAACTGGATATACACAGACAACTAAATGAAGTTGGATTCTTAGACCATATACAAAAATTAACTCAAAATGAATCAAGGACTTAAGAGCTAAAACTGTAGAACATTTAGAAGATGACACTGGGGAAAAGCTTCAGGATACTGCATTTTACAATGATTTCTCTTTTTTTGCATATTTTTGTATAATACACAACCTTTTAAACGTTACTGCTAATATCTGAATTTTTGTGTTTCTGCTTCAGTCCCTCTGAGTCATTGGTCTTCTTTTTGTTCCCGCTTGTATTTTTCACATTGTGTGTTTCATAGTAGTGCACACAAATTTTTTTGGATTGTTGCTGCTGTACTGCTCACTTCCATTCCTTAGATGTAAGCATCCTGCAAGTTTTACTTGAATATTCCTCTTCCCTCTGTGTTCTGCTTATTTCCTTTTTTGGTAAATGCTGTGTAGCATCTGCATCTTCTTCAGATATTTTTCTCTGCTCTTCATGTTTTTCAAATATCTTTTCACTTAGTACCTTGGATATTCTGACTCCTGAAAACTTTTTAGCTTTAGCTTTGTCTAAAAACTTCTGATATTTAGCAATATTCTCATCTAGAGCTTTAATAATGGCTTTGGTGTGATTTTTCCATATGTTCTTCCTCAGATTCCTAGTAAGACTCTTCATCATCTCTTGCTTCTGCTCCCCTTCTTCAATAGAAAAGCTCTCAAGCTCTTTCTCCAGATATGACATATCCACAGGAGCGAGGTCATCCCCAGAAGACTGAGGCACCACACTGAGTTTGCCAAAGTTTTGCTGAACCCATGCACAAGAATTGGTTGCATCTCTGAGTTAGCATCCAGTGACTATTCTCTTCTTTTTCTTTTTCAATCACAGATTCTGTCACTTCACCTACAGTTTTGGTATTCATTCTGTCACTTCCTCTTCTGGATTGTTCTGGGTTGCTTCTGTGGCAACTTCCACGGATTAGGAGGGTGAAAGCTGGGGGGCCACAGGTGACTCTCCATTAAGCAGCTTGACAAAGAAAGGAATCCAGCCCTCTCAGCCAGTCATTGAGGACTATCCACCCACAGTCAGTAAGTCAGTAAGTTACTCCACCCTTTAGTAACTTCCCAGTCCAGAAAGTTAGCTTCTCAATAAAGTCCTCAGCATTCTCCCAAGAATTAATCTTTTATGTCTTGCTGATATATTCTGGCTTTACTTGTTCAAGTACAACATCAATGCAGTCTTCAGGGGTCTTAATTTTTCCTACTTAACTCCTTTTAGCACAATGTCTGTCTTCAAGTCCTCAGAAGAGTATACCAAACCTGAACAGTCAATGAAGCATAACCAACATATCAAGGTAATGTATTTCCAGATATTTCATCTACAATGGGGACCACATTGCAAACTTTCTTGGAACACTATGTTTATATCACAGACCTCTTGCCAACATTTAGATAGCCAATGAACCCAACACTCATCTGTTTCTTGTCAGTGTACAACTTTCCAAACTGCCACAGAAGCTGAATAAATGCTCCTTTGCGAAAGGGGTCAGTAAGACTTGCATGGAAAGCAAGTGTTGGCTAATCCAAGGAGAGGACAGCAACCCATCATTTTGTTGCCCAGGTTGCAACAAGGTCACATTTGTTATGTACAAACATAACGTGTTCCCAGGGTTTATTCTTTTTCAAGTATGGCTCAAGGCTCAATGTGACGGGAACGGGTACCCATTGGATCTCTAGCCAGCAACCAGAACTACAACATCTGGTGAATCTATAACCCTGGAGAGCTCATCCTATATTCCTTTGGACTGTCCCTTTTTACATGTCTCTTCTTGTGCTTCATTTATCCCACCAGTGTCTTCAGTTACTGACTCATGATCTTTTCTAGAAACTGGTCTAGCTCTCAGTGGACATTTCAGCATTTTCTAGAAAAGACTGCATATCACTTGCAAATAAATTTGGTTGCTTCCTTTGTGACATAGGGCCAAATGTAGTTTTAAAACTTTCAGTATCAGGAACGTGCACCTTTGAGTTGAGGCTGGATTCAATCTTAGAGAAGAGACATTGGTAACTTGCTTTGTTTCATGACAACTGTGTATGAATCCTTCATAACTGTATCCACTTCCTCTTGAAGTTTTTGTAATCATGACTGCTTAATCACATGTGCATTTTCAAACTATTTGATATTTGGCTGCACTTTTGCCACTGTGCCAGAAGCCACCTTTGATTGATATTCCAGGGGCTTAATGATCTTACCACAGCTGTTCTTGTATTTCTTTTGCCTGTACATATTCAGGCCTGAGACTGTGGCCTGGTCCCTCATGTTTTGACCTCCTGCTTCCTGCTCTCAGTCTGGGTTTGTGCTGGCATCGAAGAGGTTGATGATGCACTGTCCTTTTGTACTTGGGCTTTACCATCTTGGCGATGAGATGGGAACTGAAGTGCTAAGTCCAGCTTATGTTGGGTAAATGAATTCAGAACTTCCCAGGCCTGGCTGAAGTGACCTGTTTTATTACAGCTTCAATCTCAGTAGTTGTTATTGGTCTCCTCAGTTGTTAGATTTTTTCATAGTTCAATCTTGGTAGGCTGTATCTGTCTGGGAATGTCTTCTAGGTTTTCCAATTTATTGGCATATAGTTGCTCCTAGAAGCCTCTAATGATCCTTTGAATTTCCATGGCAGCAGACGCAATGTCTACTGTTTTATCTGATTTTATTTTCATTTATTTTATCTTCTTTTTTTCTTAGTCTGGCTAAAGGTTTGTTGATTTTGTTTATCTTTTTTAAAAATAACTTTTCATTTCATTGATTTTTGTATTTTTTTTATTTCATTTATTTCTGCTCTGATCTTTATTCCTTCTACTAATTTGGGGTTTGGTTTGCCCTTGTTTTTCTAGTTCTTTAAGATGTATCAATAGGTTGCTAATTTGAAGTTTTTCTGCTTTTGTTGATGTAGGTGCCTATTGCAATAAACTTCCCTGTACTGCTTTTGCTGTATCCCACAGGTTTAGGTACATCAGGTTTCCATTTTCATTTGTTTCAAGACATTTTAAAATTTCCTTCTTAATTTCTTCATTGAGCCACTGGTCATTCAGGAGCATATTGTTTAATTTCCAGGTGTTCATATAGTTTCAAAATTCCTCTTGTTATTCATTTCTAGTTTTATTCCATTGTGGTCAGAGAAGATACTTGATATAATTTCAATTTTTTGACTTTTTAAAGATTTGATTTGTGGCCTAACATATGGCCTATCTTTGAGGATTATCCATGAGCTGAGGAGAAGAATGTGTATTCTGCAACTGTGGGATGAAATGTTCTGTGAATATGGCTATTAGGTTCATTTGTTGTATAGTAGAGATTAAGCCTGATATTTCTTTGTTGATTTTCTGTCTGGATAATTTGTCCAATGCTGCACTGAAAGTAGGGTGTTAAAGTCTCCAGCTATTATTGTATAGGGGTCTCTCTCTTTAGCTCTAATAATATGTGCTTTATATATCTGGATGCTCCTGTGTTAGATTCATATATATTAAGAATTATTATATCCTCTTGCTGAATTGATTTCTTTATTCAATGACCTTGTCTGTTTTTATGCTTTTTGTCTTGAAATCTATTTTTTTTTTCCTGATATAAGTATAGCTACTCCTGCTCTTTTCTGGTTTTGCATGGAACTTTTTTTAACTCTTTATTTTCAGCCTATGTGTGTGTCCGTCTGGGTGTAGTGTGTTTCATGTAGGCAACAGATTGTTGGGTCTTGTGTTTTTATCCATTCAGCTCTCTTTGTCTCTTTACTGGAGAGTTTAGTGCATTTATATTCCATGTTATTACTCATAAGGAATTACTTTTGCCATTTTGTCACTTGTTTTCTGGTTGTTTTGTGGTCTTTTCCTTCTTTCTTTTCTTCCTGTATTCCTTTTAGTGAAGGTGATTTTCTCTGGTGGTATATGTACATATCCGTTGTGTTTTTTGATTTGTGGTTACCATAGCCTTGCAAATAATATCACGTAACCTGTTATTTTAAACTGACAACAACTTAATGCTGATTGCATAAACAAACAAGCAAAGAGAAAACTAGTAAAAAACTCTACAGTTTAACTTCATCCCCCCCTTTTTAGCTTTTTGTTGTTTCTATTTATATCTTAGTATACAGTGTTGTGAAAAGTTGTTGTAGTTATTATTTTTATAGGTTCATCTTTCAGTCTTTCTACTCGAGATATGAGTGTTTATACACCACTATTGCAGTATTATAATATTCTGTGTTTTTTTGTGTATTTACTTCAGATGATTTCTTATTGTTCATTAACATCCCTTTCCTTCAGATTGAAGAACTCTCCTTAGCATTTCTTATAGGCAAGGTCTGGTGGTGATGAAATCCCTCAGCTTTTGTTTTTCTGGGGAAGTCTTTATTTCTTCTCCATGTTTGAAGAATATTTTTGCCAGATATACTATTCTAGGATACAAATTTTTTCTTTTTTTTCCTTCAGCAATTTAAATATGTCATACCACTCTCTCCTGGCCTATAAGGTTTCCACTGAGAAGTCTGCTCACAAATGTACTGGAGCTCCATTGTATGTTGTTTCTTTTCTTTTGCTGCTTTTAGGATCCATTCTTTATCCTTGACCTTTGGGAGGTTGACTATTAAATGTCTTGAGGTAGTCTCACCTGGGTTAAAGTTGCTTGGTGTTCTATACCTTTCTTGTCCTTGAATACTGATACCTTTTTCTAGGTTTGGAAACTTCTCTGTTACCATCCCTTTGAATAACCTTTGTACCCCAACCTCTCACTCTCCCTTCTCCTTAAGGCCAATAACTCTTAGATTTGCCCTTTAGAGGCTATTTTCTAGATCTTCTAGACATGCTTCATCTTTTTGTCTTTTGTCTTTTCTGACTGTGTATTTCCAAATAGCCTACCTTGAAGCTCACTAATTCTTTATTTTGCCTGATAAATTCTGCTGTTAAGAGTCTCTGATGCATTCTTCAATATATCAATTGCATTTTTCAGCTCCAGAACTTCTGCTTGATGCTTTTTAATTATTTCAATTTCTTTGTTAAATTTATCTGACAGGATTCTGAATTCCTTCTCTGTGTTATCTTGAATTCTGTTAAGCTTCCTCAAAATAGCTATTATGAATTCTCCATCTGAAAGGTTACACATCTGTTTCCCAAGATTGATCACCGGTGCCCTATTTAGTTCATTTGATGAGGTCATGTTTTCCTGGATGATCTTGATGCTTGTGGATGTTTGTTGATGTCTTGGCATTGAAGAGTCAGGTATTTATTGTGGTCTTCGCAGTCTGGGCTTTTATGTACCCATCCTCCCTGGGAAGGCCTTCTAGGTATTCAAAGAGACTTCAGTGTTGTGATTGAAGTCTTTGGTCACTGCAGCTATATCTGCATTAGGGGGCTCTCCAAGCCTAGTAACACTGTGGCTCCTGCAGACTTGCAGATGCACTGCCTTGGAGGTTTTGGGTAAGATTCAGAAGAATTCCCTGGATTACCAGGCAGAGACTCTTGTTCTCTTCTCTTATTTTCCTGCAAACAAACAGAGTCTCTCTGTGTGTGCTGAGCTGACTGGAACAAGAGGAGGGGTGAATCAGGCACCCTGTGGCAACCACCACCTGTGACTGCACTGGGTCAGACCTGAAGCCAGCATAGCATTGGGTTTCACCCAAGGCTCATAGTCACCACTGCCTAACTACCGCTTATGTTCACTGAAGACCCAAGGGCTCTACAATAAGCAGGTAGTGAGTCCAGCCAGGCTCATATCCTTCACTTCCTGTTGGTAAGTTTCTTCCAGCCCTAACTGTGTTCAGAGATGCCATCTGGGAACCAAGGACTGGAATCTACCTGGTCCTCTATTCTACAGCAGCAGAACTGGCACCAAAGCTTCAAGACAAAGTCTTTCCCACTCTTCACTCCCCTATTCTCAAGCATAGTAGTCTCTCTCTATGACCATCATTGCCCCAGGCCTGCAGCAAGTATTGCCTGGCTACCACCAATGTTCACTCGAGGCCCAAAGGCCCTTCAGTCAGCTTGTGGTGAATGCTGCCAGTTCTGAGTCTCTCCTTTCAAGGCAGTGGGCTACCCCCTAGCTCAGAGAAGGTCCAGAAATCCTATCCAGGAGCGATGGCCTGGAACTGAAGACTCCAGGAGCCCACTTGTTGCTCTACTCCACAAAGCTGGTATCCAAGCTAATGCTTGATTCTTATGAAGGTGCTTTTTTGTGTGGACAGTTGTTCAATTTGGTGTTCCAGCAGGAGGGATAATCACTGGAGGGTTCTATTTGGCCATCTTACTCTGCCTTCTCCCTGTTTTGATTTCTTTTACGTGATACCAAAAGCACAAGAAATAAAGATTGGGTTCTATAAAAATAAAACCTTTTGTGTATCAAAGGACATTATCAAATATAGTGAAAAGGCAACCCACAATATAGGAGAAAATATTTGCAAATCACATGTCTGATAAGTGGTTAACATTTTTTTTTTGAATTTTAAACTCCTATAATTCAACAAACAACCCAATTAAAAAATGGGAAGAAGACTTGCATAGGTGTTTCTCCAAAGAAGATACACAAATGGTCAATAAGTATATAAACAGATGCTCAACACTACTAACCATTAGGGAAATGCAACTCAAAACCATAATGAGATACCACTTCAAACACAATGAGACGACAAGTATCAAGAAAATGGAAAATAACTAGTGTTGGTGAGGACATGGAGAAATTGTGAGCCTTGTGCATTGCTGATGGGAATGTAAAATGGTATAGTGGCTATGGAAAATCAGTATGGTGGCTCTTCAAGAAATTAAAATAGAATTGCCATATGAATCAGCAATCCCATTTCTGGGTATATGCTCAAAAGAATTGAAAGAAGTGTCTCAAAGAGACATTTGTATGCATTATGGACTTAACGTTTGTGTCCCTCCAAATTGATATATTAAAGCCCTAATCTCCAATGAGGCAATGTTGGAGATAAGGCCCCTAAGGAGATAAATTTAAATGAGGTAATAAAGGCAGGGCCCTTATCTGATAAGATTAATCTCCTTATAAGAAAACAGACCAGAAACACTGCTACCTCTTTCTCCATGAATATGCACCAAGGAAAAGCCATGTAAGGACAATACCAGAAGGTGGCTGTCTGAAATCAAGAAGAGAGCCCTCTCCAGAAACTGATCTTGGACTTCTAGCATCCAGAATTGTAAGAAAATAAATTTCTGTTGTTTAAGCCACCCATTCTATGAAATTTTATTATGGCAGCCTAATATAGTATATATCTAAAATAACTGAAAGCAGGATCTTGCAGGTATTTGCTTACCTGTGTTTAATGCAGCATTATTCACAATAGCCAACAGCTGGATGTAGCCCAATGCCCATCAGTGAATAAATGAAAAACAAAATGTGTGTATAGGTACAATAGAATGTTATTCAGCCTTAAAAAGGAAATTCTGACACATGCTATAACATGGATGAATCTTAAAAATATTGTGCTAAGTGAAATAAGCCAGTCATAAAAAGACAAATACTATATGATTCCACTTATATGAGGTATCTAGAGTAGTCACATTTATAGAGAAAAAATGTAGAATGGTGGTTTTCAGGTGTTGGAGGGAGAAGGGAATGGGGAGTTATTATTTAATGGGTATACAATTTCAGTCTAGAAGTTGAAAAAAATTCTAGAGATGGATGGTGATGATGATTTCACAACAGTGGGACTGAAGTTAATGCCACTGTGTATTTAAATTATACATTTAAATACACTTAAAATGTTAAATTTTATGTTATGTACATTTTACCATAATAAAAAGTGATATATACACATTCATATATTTAAATTAGCTAATATCTACAATTTGATTATGCCAAGAATTCACATAGATATGGAATAACAGAGTTTCTTCCACCCTACTGTTGGAAATGTATTAATAAAACCAACTGTGAAAAATAGTCTGATATATTTTAATTAACTGCATATCTTGTGACCCAATATTAGATAAAGACCTTTAAGAATCTTGAACAGAATATATAAACAAAAATATTCATTATGGCACTGTGTGTCATAGCAAAAAACTGAGAACAATCAATTTCAACCAACAATAAAACAGATGTGCACCCTGATATATTCACATAATGGAAAATTATACAAAAATTTAGAAGTTTTAATAGTGTTATAATCACAAAAGTAGAAACAAATTTCACACATGTGGTCTACAATAATATGAATAGGTTAAAATAACTATAACTGGGTATATTTATAATTAGATAAATTCTCAGTCTTGACTGGATAGATTCTCAGTCTTGATATTTAAAAATCCAGCTGTATGCTGTTAACACAAAAATATAAGTTTAAGACAAATTAATATATACATATGCAAAGCAATCACAAAATCTCAACCATGACAATTTTATTTTATGCGACTGGACAAACCGTTTTAAAATTGGCAGCTTTTAACAAAAATAAAAACAATGATCTCTATACTTAAGACATTTTTGTAAGTTTTAGTAATAATTATAGATCAGTAAAATAAAAATCATAATTCTTTAAAAGACGTGTATATATGTATTTTATATGTGTTAATATATGTGTATGTCTATTTATATGTACACATATAAATACACAAATTAATATGGTATATACCCCTACTTCATAGACCTGAGGGTAAAGAAACAAAATTATGAAATTATTGAAATAAAATATTAGAGATTTTTTCATGCCTATGAGACAGGTAAAACTTTCCTAAGAAGAAACAAATATAATTGCAAGGGGTCCAAAATACTCAAAACATATTTAAAAAAATGAACAAAGCTTCCAGTTGCGATGCCAAATTTCAAAACTTACTACAAAGCTACAATAATCAAAACAGTGTGGTACTAACATAAGGAAATGCCTACCACCAATGAAACAGAATAGTGCACATAAATAACTCATACATCTAAGACAACTGATTTTTCAACAAGGATACCAAAACAATGAAATGTGGAAAGAACAGTTTCTTCAGCAAATTATTCTGTAACAACTAGATAGCCACATGTCAAATAATACAGTTGAACTCCTACAACACACAATTTATAAAAATTAGTTCAAAATGCATTGATGACCACTTTGAAAAAGATATAGGGGTAAGTCTTCATGATTTTAGATTTTGCAATGGTTTCTTAGATATGACACCAAAAGCATAAGCAATAAAAAATAAATATAAACTGGACTTCATTTTAAAACTGGGATGAAATGGACAATATTATGGATGTGAAAAGAAAAGCAGAGAACAGGTAAAAATATTTGCAAAGCATATATTTGCTGAGAATCTAATATATAGACTATCTAAAGAGCCCTTACTACTCAAAAACAAACAAAATCCCAAGTAGAAACACTGGCAGAGGATTTACGTAGACATTTCTCCAAAAAAGATACACAAATGGCCACCAAGCAAACAGGAAAAAATGCTCAACATCATTACATCATTCAGGAAATACAAATAAAAACTGAATGAGACACTATTTCACATATACTAGAATGGTTAAACTTTTTTTTTTTTTTTTTAAAAAGGAAAATAGCAAGTGTTGGCCAGGATGTGAAGAAACAGGTACTCTCATACATCACTAATGGGATTGTAAAATGGTATATGTCTTGTGAAAAATGGTTTGGCTTATACTCAAAAAGTTAAACACAGAATAAGTGGAAAATAAAGTGGAATGACCCTGTAATTCCACTCTTGGTATGTACCCAAAAGAACTCTAAATGGGCACTTAAGTATATACTTTTCATGAATGTTCACAGCAACAGTATTCACAATAGCCAAAATATGGAAATAACCAAATGTCCATGGATAAACAAATTGTATATATATATAAAATGGGATATTATTCAGCCATAAGAAAGAATGTAGCACTGATACATGCTACATCATAGATGAATCTCAAAAACATTATGCTAAGTGAAAAAAGCCAGATACAAAATAATACATATTGTTTTATTTTATATGAAATATCCAGAATAAATAAATCCATAAAGATAGAAAGCATAGTGATAGTTGCCAGGGGGTAATGGTAGACATGAATGAGGCGTAACTTTTTAATAAGTACGGGGTTTCCTTTTTGAAGTGATAAAATGTTTTGGAATTTGGTAGAGGTGTTTGCAAAACATTGTGATTGTACTAAATGCTATTAAATTGTTCACATTAAAATGGTGAATTTTAATTAATGTGAATTTCAACTCAATTAAAAAAATAAAGAGAGCTTCGTTTGATCTGTGGACCAATATAAATTGGTGTGACACATGTTTATTTGATAATCAAAAGGAGAGGTCAGTCAATCATGCATAAAACAATAAATGGTTAAAAGCAGTGGATTTAATGAATGACATAAATGAGCAGGTCAAAGATACCTGACAAACATTCCACACAATATATACAAAGAACTCCACTTTTAGGCACTACAGAGTCAAACTGCTATTTATTTCCTGTATAGCTTTGAGAACTTCTCTATGAGTTTAAAATAAAGGTAAATGAGTTTTAATAAATAGAAACTCTCATAGCTATACAGGAAACAAATGTAAAAGCCCATCACATTACAGGCAGGGTGGAGGGATCTATATAACTAGAAGCTCTCTTCTCATCAGAAACAATAAATGCTGGAAGAGAATGGAGCAATGGTTTACTAGACATAAAAGTGAATTTTACAACTAAGAAACTATCTTTCGAAACTAAGGGTAAAAATACAATTTGTAATAAAAATTAGAGAGACATATTATCCAGGTAACAAAATATGTTCTCCCAACTCCTGTAACATGCAATCTGTAGAATCAATCTGCACGTGTACCCCTGAATAAAAGTTAAAAAAAGAAAAACTAAAGGAAGTTCCTTAGCCTGAAGAGATCTATTACCAGATGGAATAATAGGAAATCCATGTATCAACTTGCCTGAAACAATGAAAAATAATAATAATAATTCAATATACATGGAAAAAATGGCTTTCAAAACATTAGTTATCAAACCACAAGGAACTGTAACTCTTTGGAAATAAGAAACAAAAGATGTGAGCCCTACAATTGTGAGCCTACAATTAGTAAACTAACTTCCATAGCTTACTGTCTTGAGTGAGTTTTCAAATTATGTTACAGGGAACTAAGGTGGAGCCCAGCAAAGTCCCTCAATTAAGGAGACCAACCTAAGAGTCAGAGAAGACCAACACTGCTGGAGTTAAGACTATGTCCCAGAGAGGAGATAGCAACATACACAGAGAACCCCGGAGATTAGTAGAATATTTCTCCAAAATATTTTACACAACAGCAATCAGCAGGTATGTGTGAGGAAGCTATGTTAGTCTGGGAAGAGGAACATCTATTTTGATAGCAATAGAGGGAATAGTGCCTGGCAGTCACTCAGGATAATGAACAGTGTCTGTTCCCAACAGCCAGTATGAGAAACTCAAAATTCAAAAGGCACTGGGTAAAGCACTTGGGAAGGTAGTAGGAAACAATTACCTCTGGACTGAATATTGAACAAGAACCACCTATCAAATTACAAAGCAAGACATAAAATAATCAAACAGCTTCCAAGAAATGCATTAATTGCTTGTGAAAACAAAGACTCAGAAGAAACAAATTTTTAGGAACATCAAAATATCCAGCACCAAATAAGGCAAAATTCACAATGTTGGAATCTAAACAAAGATTACTGTGCAGTAATAAGAGGCAGGAAAACATAACCCATATTCAGGGAAATAAACAATCAAAACCAAACTGGAACTAAGGAGGTAAAATACACTGAAAGCTACAAAATATTGCTGAAAGAAACTAAAGATGACCTAAATAGACATTCTGTATTCATGAGAATAAGTACTTAATATTGTTAAGATGTTAATATTACTCAAAGGGATCTAGAGATTCAATACAATCCCTGTCAACATTCCAACAGCTTTTATTGAAGAAATGGAAATGCCAACCCTCAAATTCATATGGAATTCAAAGGGCACTAAATAGTCGAAAAAAATCGAAAAAGGAAAACAAAGTCGGAAGATACATAACTTCCAATTTCAAAAATTACTACAAAGCAATAGTAATCAAAATAGTGTGGTACAGGCATAACGACAGACTATATAGCCCAATGGAACAGAAATAAGCGCATATATCCATGACCAGCTCATTATTTATAAGGGTGCCAAGTCCATTAATTATGGAAATACTAGTCTCTTCCACAAATGGTAAAGAGACAAGTGGATTTCCAACTGCAAAAGAATGAAGTTGAACCCCTACTTCATATCAAATACATTAATTAACTCAAAATGGATTTATGACCTAAATATATCAGAGCAAAAACTATTAAATCCCTGGAAAAAAACATAAGGTTAAATCTTCACGCTTTCATACAGCAACAAATGCTTAGATCTGACACCAAAAACAAGGGTAACAAAAGAAAGCGCACGTAACTTTGACTTCATCAAAATTAAGATTTTGTCCATCAAAGTATATTATCAAGAACTTTGCAAATTGGCAAAGCAGAAATGTTTACAGGGTCTAAATAACTGGTACAATATATAAACACTAAACATAAGAAAGCTGGAATGGTTTTATATTAATATCTAACAAAATAGGCTTCAATGTAAGAAATATTATCAGGAATATAAAAATGTACTACATAATGATAGAGGAGGAAGTGATCAGGAAAAAATAGCAATTCTAAATGTCTATTTAACTAGTTACTGAGTTTCAAATATGTGGCAAAACTAAAAGGAGAAATAGACAAATTCACAATAATAGCTAGGAATTTCAAACATTCCGTTCTCAAAAACTGATATAACAAGTTGAAAATAAAAAAACAGGGATATAGAAGATTAACTTACTAAAACCAAAAATATCAGAATAAACTTTTTATTCATGGGAGCATATAACATTTATCAAGATGTGCCAGATTTCTGGCCAGAAAACAATCTTCATAACAACTGAAAGGACTGAATTGATATAGAATATGTTTTCTGAACATAAGATATTTAATTGCAGATTAACAAAAATTATATTGGAGTTGACCAGATATATGAAAGTTAAACAACATACTAATGAATAAGACCTGGGCCAAATAAAATTATAAAATTAGATAATATTTTGGACTTATCAAAAACTTAAAAATCAACAAAAATAAAATTAGTGGGCTATAGATAAAGCAATGTTAGGAAAAAATGTAAAGCTTTTAAATACTTACATAAGAAAAAAGAGAAAGTTATGAAATCAATGTTCTATACTACTCTCATAAGAAACTAAAGAAAGGGCCAGACGCAGTGGCTCACACCAGTAATCCCAACCCTTTGAGAGGCCAAAGTGGGCGGATCACAAGGTCAGCCACTCAAGACCAGCCTGGCTAACACGATGAAACCCCATCTCTACTAAAAAAACAAAAATTAGCTGGGTGTGCTGGTGTGTGCCTTTAATCCCAGCTGCTCTGGAGGCAGAGGCAGGAGAATCACCTGAACCTAGGAGGCAGAGATTGCGGTGAGCTGAGATCACGCCACTGCACTCCAGCCTGGGCAAGAGAGCGAGACTCTGTCTCAAAAAAAAAACTAAAGAAAGAAGAGCACATTAATTTTCAGATAAGAAAGGAAAGACTTCAGAAACCATTAAAGGTATTAGCTAAAATTAATGAAATAGAAATCAGATAAGAGAAAATTAATAAACAAAATGCTGGCTCTTTGAAAGGACTACTACAATTGATAAACTTCCAATTAAAGTTTGGTAAAACTTAAAAACAAAAAACATATGTAGATGAATAATATCAGGAATTAATGAGAAAACATCACTACAGATCCTATGACATTAGAAGGAAAATAAGAGAACACTATGATCAATTTGTGGAATAAGTTTGACATCTAAATAAAATAGACAAACTCTTGAGGATATACATTATCAAAACAGGCTCAGAAAATCTGAAAAGCCCTATATCAATTAACCACTGAATTATAATTAAAATCCTTTGCACTTGGACTTATCATTTTGTTGTTATGGTCTAAGCCACTAATATCCAGCCATCCTATTGATTACAATTATATATTCAAAATAATTACATTGTAAAATAACTACCTGAGTACTCTAAAAAGCAAAGAGATTAAAGTGAATTTAGAAGGACAGTTGAAAGAAACAACTCACACAGGGAAGAGTATCCATTCTGTTTGTCTGTTTTTAAATTTTCTCTCTCTCACATTTATTTCCATTATTATCTAGAAAAATCTTAAATATCTAAAAATATTTTGAATTTAATAATAATGAATATATAACACTGAAATTAATGGTATAAATCTAAAGCAGTGTTTGAAAAAATTATCATTTTACATGTAGCTTTTATTAGGAAAAAATGGAAATTTCTAAATATCAATGCCCTCATTGAAAATTTCAAGAAATCTATTTTTTGAAAAGTCTCCTAAAATATGTAAATGTAGCAAAGTAGTAGTAAGCAAGGGCAACGAACAAAAACTATTATGTTTCTAAGTACTAGCAATAAATGATTACAAACCAAAATTTAAGCCACAATAACACTTATAATAACTCCCTCCAAAATGAAATAACTACATGAATCTAACAACCATGTATAAGATCTATATGATGCTAACTACAAACTACCAATGAAAGAAATAAAAGACCTAAAAAAAAATAGATGGGCATGCTATGTTCATGGATCTAAAGATTTAATATAGTAAAATTATGAAAATTCCACAAATCCTATATTGAGCTATAAGTTTAATACAATTGCTATCAATATCCTAGAATAATTTTTTTTGTAAATACAGATAAACTAAACTTCATATGGAAAAGCAAAGAAACAAGAATAGCTAAAATTAGCTTTGTGAGAGAAGAAAAAAGTAGGAGAAATCACACCACCAATTTTAAGACTTACTAACCATAGTAATGAAGACAGTGTTTGCTATGGTTTGAATGTTTGTCCCTTCCAAACTCATGTTGAAATTTAATTGCCATTATAACAGTATTTAGTAAGATCCTTAAGAGGTGATTAGACCATGAGGGCTTGGCCCTCATGAACTGATTAATGTCATTATCATGGGGTTGGATTCTGAGTTTGGCCCCTTTGTCTCTGTTTCTCTCTCTGTCTCACGCCCTCTCTTTGCACTTCCATCATAAGGTTACACAATGAGAAGGCCCTCACCAGATGTCAATACCTTGATCCTGGACTTTCCATGCTCCAGAACTGTGAGAAATACATTTCTGTTCTTTATAAATTACAAAGTCTCAGATATTCTATTATAGCAGCACAGAGTGGACTAAGATAGAAAATTGATTTTGAGAAGTGGGACTGTTGCTAAAACAGTCCTCTCATCACAGGCCCAGAGTGTCACTCCTCGCATCACAGGCCCAGAGTGCCAAGGTCTGGGAGAAGGAAATATGTGAAAAGAGAGGCCTAGTGGGCCCTCAGGACATCGAGGCTTGCTTCCCAGGGAAGTCTCAGGTCTCTGTTCCCTGCATTCTGGCACAGGGCTCCTCAGTCACCCAGGTGTTGCTGAAGGAGGCCCCAGACAGGACTTGAGTCACTGATTGTAAGAATACAAGCAACAAATCTTGGTGGTGTCCAAGTGGTGTTAAGTCTTCAGGCAGGCAGAATGCAAGGGCTGTGGAGGCATGGCTTCCTCCACCTTTATTTCAAAGAAACTTGTTGTGAACAACCTAGGGGCCCAGGCAGAGACTTACCATAGGGGCAGAGCCACGGCAGAGAGCCTCTACTGTGGTAATGCCCTGCAGAATTGTGTGGTCAGAGTTTTCAGAGAGTCTCCACTACAGTAATACATAGTAGAGCCACGAGAGCAAGGCCATGGGAGATAAGCAATACCAGCCTGGGAGAGCAGCAGGCATCTGACTCCAACCTACAAGAGCTGTTGTTTGAGCTATGACCAACAAAGCCATAGAAGTGTGGCTTCTCGAGCCCTTGAGGGCACAACCCCCACCCCAGTGTGCCCAGAAGGCAGGACAAGGGGTCAAGGAAAATTATTCTGGAGGCTTAATATTTAATGTTGTTTACCTTGTTGGGTTTTGGACTTCCTTAGGGTCATTTATCCCTTTCTTCTTGCCTATTTCTCCCTTTTGGAAATATATCCTCTGCCTGTTCCACCATAATATTTTGAAGTAGATAATTTGTTTGATTTCACAGGGTCACAGCTGGAGGGAAATTTGCCTCAGGATGTATTGTGTCTTGAGTCTCGCCCACATACATCTGATTTAGATGAGAGACTCTAGACTTTGAACATTTCAGTTGATGCTGAAACAAGTTAAGACTTTTGGGGCTACTGGATAAAAATGACTGTATGTTATATGTGAGAAAAACATGAATTTTTGGGATCAAGGTCAAAATGGTATGATTTGTATATATCTTCAAAAAGTATATGTTGGAAACTTAATCCCCAATCCAACAGTGTTAGGAGGTGGGGCCTAATGGGACTTGTCTAGGTCATGATGGCTTGACCTTCATGAATGGATTAATGCCAATTATAGAATGGCTTGAGGCTGAAAGGTCAGTCTCTTGCTCCATCTCACTCTTTCTTTGGCCATCATGAGATGACACAGGAAGGAGGCCCTCATCAGACGCCAGACCCTTGATCTTAGACTTCCCAGCTTCCAGAACTGTAAGCCAATAAATTTCTTTTCATGACAAATTATGGAGTCTGTGGTATTCTGTTTTATCTATGATAGCAGCACAAAACAGACTAAGACAGTGCTTTATTAGTGCAGGGATACACACATAGATCAATGGAACAAGCTGGTAACCCAGTGAATTCCATTAAATATCGGAGGACAAAATAATATCAATCCTATAGAAGCACTTTCAGAACAGTAGGAGAAAACAATGTCCAACTCATTTTATAATGCCAGCATAACCGTAATCCAAAATCACAACAAAGACATTATTTAAAAATACAGAAAAATACTCTTGAAAAAGGTATAAATATTAACAAATCAAATAATAAATAAAAGGACCATGACCACATAGGTTTTTATCCCAGAAATGCAAGTGTTGGTTCAGAATTAAAGAGTCAATCAAAGCAAATTACTGTACTAATACAATAAGTGTTCTCAGATGTTCTTTGTCGGTTTTCAAACCGGCAAAGAACATCTAAGATAACCCTACAGCTAATACCATACTTAAAAGTGAAAGAGTTATTGCTTTTCCTCTAATATTGGGAAAAGGGCAAGAATGCCTTCTTTTGACATTTTTATTTAACACTGTACTAGAGGACCTAGTCATTGCAATAAAGCAAGCCAAAAAAAAAAAAGGCACAAACATCAGAAATAAAGAATTAAATCTGTTGCAGAACATATATTTATATTAAAAAGGATCTACAAAATAATTATTATATCTAAGCAGTGAATTAAGCATAAGCACAGGATCCAGGTTAATATTTTAAAAATCCATAATATTCTTACATACTAATGGGAAAATTAAATCAAATAACATGCTAACTGGAAAATTAAATCAAATAACCATTAAAATAACTCAATTTAAAAGAGAGAAAATAAAACATAACATTCTTATGAATAAATCTAAGAGATTTGCTAGAAATCTGAAATGAAAACTACAAAACATCCCAAAAACAAATTTAAAAAGAATTTACACACTTGGAGAATCAACATGTTCACTATTTAGAAGACTAAATATATTTGAGATAACAATTAATTTTGTCTTTAGAGTCAATGAAATCAATTCAAATTACAGTTGAACTCTTTGTAGAAATTGATATGTTAATTCTAAAATGCATACAATAATTCAAAAAACAGGGAAAAAAGCAATCTTTAAAATAAAAACAAAGCTGGAGGATTATCCTATGTGATTTCAATAGTTACTATAAAGCTACAGTAATCAAGATACTTCAGTATTGTTCAAATAACAGACATAGATGAATGGAGCATAATTAAATGTACAAAATTGCAGTCAGCTGAATTTTTGCCAGAGGCAACATGGCATTTTAATAGAGGAAGAAAAGTATCTTCAATAAATGGTACTGGATCATTAAGATATGATATCTTTATGGTAAAAAATGATCATCAACCTTTTTCTCACACCAAACAGAAAAATCAACTCAAAATGGATCATGGACCTAAATGCGGAATCCAAAATGCTATTAAAAAACACAGAGGCCGGGCGCGGTGACTCAGGCCTGTAATCCCAGCACTTTAGGAGGCTGAGGTGGGTGGGTCACCTGAGGTCAGGAGTTCGACACTAGCCTGGTCAACATGGTGAAAGCTCGTCTCTACTAAAAATACAAAAAAATAGCTGGGCGTGGTTGTGCATGCCTGTAATCTCAGCTACTCGAGAGGCTGAGGCAAGAGAATTGCTTGAACCTGGGAGAAAGAGGTTGCAATGAGCTCATGCCACTGCACTCCAGCCTGGGCAGCAGAGCGAGACTCTGTCTCAAAAAACAAACAAACAAAAAAAAAACAGTAGAAAATCTTTGTGAATTTAGAGTAAGATAAGGTGTATTAGAACACAAACACTTACATAAACTATAGAATAGAATAAATAAAATATATTTATGCAACTTTTTAATTTAAAAACAAAAATGCAGGCCACAATCTGAGAGAAAATACAGCACATATATCAGCAAAGGACTTTTGTCCATACTATTGTAAGGACTCTTACAAGTCAATAATTATAAGATAAACAAACCACTTAAAAATGGGAAAGATAGTCGAACAAAGTATAAAACACGTACCAATAGCCATTTGGAACTTGAAAAGATGCTCAAGATATCTTTTAATCAGGAAAATGAAAACTAAAACCACATGAGATACCACAATACACACATACTGGAATGGCTAAGATGTAAAAGACTGACAACACCATGCTTTGGAAAGGGTTTGGAGCAACTGTCACCTCACATATTGCTGTATAACACAAGTTATACTGCATAACACAAGTTATAAGTGTGTTACACAGTTAACACAAGTGGCTGTATAACACAAAATTATACAGCCACTTTATAAAGCCAATTGTTGGCTCCTAAATATGGATACAATTGGCTTACAAAAGCCAACAATTTGGCTTTTCTTAAAAATAAATAAAGTTAAACATACACTAACCATATGACCCAGCAATCACAGTCATAGGTATTTTTCCAGGAGAAATGAAAATATATATCCACACAAAGACTTGTACAGGAATATTTATAGAAGCTTTATTTGTAATGGCCTAAAACTGGAAATAACCCAAATGTCCATCATCAGGTGAAAGAATGGATAAACAAAATGTGCTATACCCATACAATGGAGTACTATTCAGCAATAAACAGGGACAAACAATTAATACATTCAACAAAATGGATGAATCTCAAAATCATTATGCTAATAAAATTCAGACAAGGAATATATATACTACATGTCTATTTGTATAAAATTACAAAAACATATGCAAATCTATAATGACACAAAGCATATCAAAGCCTAGGAGTAGGTGTTGAGAGGTCAGCTAGATTAAAAGAGGGCATAAGCAAAATACAGGGCAGGGGACTTTTCTTGACCATTGTGATGCCTGCATGGGTATATACATGTCAAGTCACTAAACTGTAAAATTTCAACATGTATAGTTAATTGTATGTCATTGCTGAGCCAAAATAAAACAAGTTGTAGAAGTTACTTAAGGCAAAATATCATTTATTTTGTGGTTATCATGCAAAACAATACTATTTGTCATTATTCGTGATCCCAATAAGTGTTAATAGCATAAAATTTTTAATTAGGATAAAAAATCTATGATAATGGATATAACTGAGGAGAGAGAGAAGACAATGAAATTGTTGAGGACTTCATAGGAGGTGTCACCTGTGTCTTGTTAAAATTGCTGTAAATCTTAGAAAGAATGTAAAGCATGTAACAGAATATGACATTTTCTTTCAATGGATGATACATGTACACTTGCCCCCGATATCATTTCTGTTATTTTATGTGTTTGAAACATAATATTTATAAAGATTTCATTTCCAAAGAGCCATAATAAATCAAACACACACAAACTTTCCCATGAAAACCAAAACCAAAATAAACATCCGTTGACAGCTTCAATGAAGAATTAAATATTTGAAACAAGAATTTAAATTTTACATAAACCATTTAAGAAAAGGCAAGAAGAGGAAAGAACTGCAACTCATTTCTGAAACAGCAGTGCCCTAATACTAAAATTTTACAAAAATTTACAAGAGAAGGGAACTACAGACCAAAGTCCCTCATGAATATAGACACAAAAATCCTTAACAAAATGTTATTATAGCATATAAAAATTAAAAATATATTTTTAAATGATCACGTGTATTTTATATTAGGGGAGTTTATGTAAGGTTGCTTTAACATATGTCAATCAATCAATGCATCATAAAAACATAATAAAAGATACAAACCATGTGATCATCTCAATTCGGGTGTAAAAGACATTAGGAAAAATTCAACCTGATTTACGATTAAAAATCAAAATAAATAGGAAACAATTTCCTTTGTCAACCTGATTAATGGCATTTATGAAAAGCCCACAACTAGTGTCATACTTAATTGTGAAAGTCTGAGGGCTCTGATAGTGGGAACAAGATTAGCATGCCCACTCTTAACACTTCTGTTTAAAGTTTTCTAAATACAATAGTCTCATGAGTCAATAAAAAGAAATAATGAGCAAATAGATCTTAAGAAAAAAGTAAAATTGTCTTTATTCTTGTGGAATATGATTAGGTATATAAAGAAAAATCCTAAAAATCAAAAATAAACTATTAGAACTATCACTGAGTTTAGCAAGGCCACAAGATACAAAGTCAACATTTCTAGAAGAAAACAGAAAAAGGTCTTCATGAATTGGATCTAAGCAAAGATTTCTTGGACAGACACAATATCCTTGGAACATTAAGAAAAAATTTGAGAAACTTGGTTTTGTCAAGATTAAAATTTCTGATACTTGAAAGATAACATTGAGAAAATGAAGACAGAGCACATAGAGAGACCTGTTTCCAAAATATATAAAAAATCTTATAAGGAAATACTAAAAAAAAACCTGATAAAAAGATACAGGAAAGGATTTGAACAAACAGTTCAGAGAAGAATATATATGAATGTGCAAAGAGCAAATGAAAAGATATATCATTAGTTATTAAGTGCAAATTAATAATACTATACTCTTATTAGGATGGTTTTTTTTAATTTTATTATTATTATACTTTAAGTTTTAGGATGGTTAAAATTTTAAGAGATGGACAACAGAAAGCACTCTGAGAATGTGAAAAAGCTAGAAATCTCATACATTGCTGGTGGGTGTGTAAAATCACAAAATTTCTGTGCAAAAGTTGGGGGTTTCTTACAATTTTAACTTATATTTACCATATCACTCCACGATTTAACTCTTATGTATTTACTCAAGAGAAATGGAAACCATATAACCATATAAAAACTTAACACATAAATGTTCATACAACTTTATTCACACTAGACAAAAACTGGAAACAACTCAAATGCTGAGCAAGAGTTGGACAGATAAATAGTGGTATATTTAATAAGTGATGGTAGAGATTGTGAAGTGGCATAAGGGAACCATTTAGGGTGATGGAAATTTCTGCATCTTCATAGTGATGTTAACTGATGTTAGTTAAATGTTAGTTTTGATACTTGTCATAACTCACTGAGCTATAAAGTTAAAATTGAAATGTTTAAAATTAAAATTACATATGTAAAATAAACACATTACATTTAAATAAAGAGGATTAGAAATACTGTCTCACAAAGAAAGCTCTAGGCCCATTTGATTTCATTGGTGAATTCAATGAAACATTTAAGGACAAAAATTGTTATTATGGGCTTATTTTTTCAGAATACAGAAGAGGAAGGAATACTGCCCAACTTGTTTTTGAAAGGCCAGCATAATAAAAATGAAAAAGGAATTATAATAAAATATGTAATATAAATAATACAAATGCTTAGAATGTTAGCAAATTAGATACAGCAATATATGATGATAAAGTGGAGTTTGATAAAAGAACATAAGGTTCAATGCATATTTTAACAAATTAAATATAACTACTTTATTTCAATAATAGAGAAAAGCATTTAACAAAATCCAACTCTCTTATCCACAATAAAATATCTCAGTAAACTAAGAATAAGTAGGAATTTCTTAATCTGATAAAGGGTATCTTAAAAAATTTATATAGCTAACATCTGCTTCAAGGTAAAACATTGAATGATTTCTTTCTAAAATTGAGGAAAATATAAGCATAGCTATTCTCACAATTTATATTAAATATTTACTTAAGGCTCTAGGCTCTGTGATAGAAATAATGAGGAAATAGACAACATAAAGTTTAAATGGAATAAGTAATACTGTATTTAATGACCATATGATTATTTATGTATCAAATCCTGAGGTATCTACAAATTTTCCCCTAGAAATAGGTTTAATAGGTCACAAGAAACAAAGCCCACATACAAAATACATTTTACATTTTTATATCAGCAGCCAACAATTGAAATAAAAAATTCAATTTAAAATAGGGTAAAAAATGTGTTAGACATCATCATTGAAAACTGTAAAATACTGATGAGAGAAACTTAAGAAGCCCTAAAGAAAGACAGGTATATCACACTTACAGACATGAAGCACATTCTTTCCAAATAATCCTCACTTATTGAAAATGGATATTGACAAGCTAACTTTAACATCTATATGGAAATGCAAAGGACTTTTTGCCAAATGGCATGTTCCAAAGATGGCAAATACTATATGCTCATTCTACACATTCTTACAATGTGACTTAATTCAGCAGTGGGGTCTGAGTTACCTTCTCTTGAACATAAGTGGATCTTCATGGGTATGGCAGAACTGACACTAGGTGACTTCTGAGGCTAGGTCATAAAAACATCATGGATTTCTATTGTTTCCTTAGGACATGAACTTTGGATCTTGTCTGCCATACTATAAGATGAAAATAACCAATGTTCACACAGGGCTGAGAATAGTCCATGCTCCCATCAGTCAGTCTTGAAAACACCAAGAATGACAGGCTGACAGTCAGAAGAAACTGAAAAGTCTTGCCCCAGTAAGTGGAATATAATTAATGTAAACAGATCATTGGCCCAGCTAATAAATCTTAAGAGCAAGACCAGAAATGATTAAACTGCTTCCAAACAACTTACCAATGTGTGCAAAAACAAAGGAAAGAGTTGTGAAGAAAACTACACCAAGGTGCACCATACTAATATTCCTCAAAAGCAATGATAAAGATAAAACCTTAAAAGAATCATCAGGTAAAAAAGAAAAACAAGGATAAAGGTGAAAGCAGATATCTCATTGGAAACAATCAAAGTGAAAAGACAGAGGAGGGGCAACCATTTCAATATAATATATAAAGAATAAAAAAACTATCAACTCTTAATTCTATATCCACCAAACAAAATAATTCAACAATTAAGGTAAAAGAAGACATTTAGATATATTAAAAAATGAAATACTCTTCAATAGCAGAGCTACACCAAAAGAAATATTAAATAAAGTCCTTCAGGCCATAGAAAAATTACTGCAAATGGAAATGGGTATACACCAAAAAATGAAGTCTACTGGAAATGGTAGTTACATGAGTAAATACATGAGAGTTTTTTTGGTGTTATTTCTATCCACCTAAAAGATAACTGACTGTTTAATAAGCATAATAATAGTGTAGTGCAGGATTTGTGACATTAGGTAAAACTAAAACGGATGTCTACAATAGCACAAAGGTCAGGAGTGGAGAAATAAAGCATACTATTTTAAGATGTTTACATTATATGTAAAGAGGTACAATATTACTTGAAGGTGGACTAAGATAAATTAATAATATATACTATAAACCTAAAGCAACTACCAAAATAAAAACACAAATTCTACCTAATAGGTCAAGTCAGATAAATGGAGTCATAAACAACTGAGACATACCATGATAACAATAATGAAAAGAAAGCTGCAGTGACAATATTAAGATTAGACAAAGTACATTTCAGAGGAAAACCTATTACAAAAAATAAAGGACATTTCAAAATGATAAAGGAGTGGATTTAACCAGGAGCATATAACAATCTTAACCATTTATATACTTAATAACAGAACTTAAAAATACTTGAAACAGACACTGATAAAACCTCAAAGAGAAACAGACACTTCCATAATTTTAGTCAGAAACATAAATACCCCTCTTTAAATAATTGGCAAAATAAGTAGACATAAAATCAGTAAAGGACATAAAAGATTTAAGTAAAATTAACAATAAAACTGACCTAATCTATATTTGCTGAACTCTCCTCCCATTCTCTATCTCTGTCTCTCACTCTCTCTCAGTATCAATATATGTGTCTCCATATATAGACATGACATATGAGGGAAAAATATATATTCTTTTGAAGTACAAATGGAACATTTACCAAAATATATATACCATACACCAGGCCATAAAACATTTTTCAATAAATTAAAAGTGTTTAGGCATGCAAAGTACATACTCTAATAGCTAAATTAAATTAGGTTTCCATAAAACAGAAATCTCGGGAAATCCCCCAAAAATCTGGAAATTAAATGCCACTCTTCTAAACAACCAAATGCTCAAAGAAAAAATTAAGTGAAATTATTAAGCATTTTGAGTTGAATGAAAATGAAAATACAACATGTTGAATGTTGTGAGGTCCAACGAAAGCAATGCTAGACAGAATTTTTTACCCAAAAGACACAAACAATCAAAACTTTTCTAAGAAATAAACAACTTTTGCTGCAGAGATTAGTTTTGTGATTCACAGATCTAGTCAAACATCCAAGAAGCCCACAATAGAAATGGGGTTATGTGGGAAAGTTCTTTGTAGGATCCCCCATCTAATGGTGTAAATTCCCATGGCATACACAGGAGACCCACAAGATTTTTCAGAATGCTTTATCAATGTCTACTTAGACAAACGGGGACAGAGGAAGGATAAAATGAAAGAGGACTGATAGATTTCCAAAATTCTACAAGCAGAAAATGGACTAAAAGAGCTACTTGGCCTCAAGCTTGTGCTCTTCTTCAAGAAAAAGAAAAACATGACTCTGATGGAAGAGCAATGAGCCCAGGGCTGATCCAGCCATAGTAATACTTCCAGAGGTAGGGAAGAATGGAGCTCTCATGAGCCCAGAGGGCAGAGCTTCTCCAGGTCCAGTGGGCAGAGAATAAAGCCACAGATGATTATTCTCAAGCCTTAAAATCTAATGATTTCTGTGTTTCAAAGTTCCTTGGGATAACTGACCCCTTTCTTTCTTCTAATTTCTTCCTTTTGGAATAAGAATATCAATCTTATGCATATCCCAATCTTTTAATTTGGAAGCAGGTACCTTGTTTTCTAGGATCATATATCCATAGATGGAGAAGAACTTTGCACCAAAATGCATCGTACCTAGAGTCTCATCCATACAAGACTGACATGACCTAGATAATGATAATTTGGGACTTTCTCGGGTGATAATATTTAGGTAAGCTTTTAGAGTTAATGCTGCAATGGGATGAGATTTATTTTATTTTATTTTATTTTATATTTTATTTATTGAGATGAAGTTTCGCTCTTGTTGCCTAGGCTGAAGGGCAATGGTGTGATCTTGGCTCACTGCAACCTCCGCCTCCCGGGTTCAAGCAGTTCTCCTGCCTCTACCTCCTGACTAGCTGGGATTACAGGCATGTGCCACCACGCATGGCTAATTTTGTATTTTTAGTAGAGATGGGGTTTCTCCATGTTGGTCAGGCTGGTCTTGAACTCCTGACCTCAGGTGATCTGCCCGCCTTGGCCTCCCAAAGGCATGAGCCACGGTGCCTGGCTGGGATGAGATTTTTGAATATCTGGCACAGTGTGAGTATATTTTGCAAGTGGATGGGCAGGAATTTTTGAGAGCCACAACCACAAGGCAGGTTGTGCTGGGTTGAATTGTCTCCCTGAAAAATGTATGTTCAAATACTAACTCCTGGTACTTGTGTAACCAAAACAGTATACTATAATATACTTAAATATAAGTATGAAAAGATAAAATATTTAATAGAGTATTTTTTCTAATGACAGCAGATTAATTTAGAACTAATTTTTTAAAAAAACATATTGGGAAAATCACCAAATGTTCAGAATTATAACACATTTCTATATAATTCTTAAGTAAAAGAACTAAAAAAAGAAATCAGGAAATACTCCAAATTCAGTAATGTGTGTGATCTCTAGACTAAAAGCCATTATATTTAAAATATTTTTCCTGAAATTTAAACAGATATAAATAAAAGGACAGATATATTAGGTTCATGGATTCTAAGAAACAATATTATAACAATGCAAATTTTCCAAAATTAATCTATATATTAAACTCCACTCAAATCAAAGCACTGACATGTATTTTGTAAAAATTATGAGATGATTCCAAAATTTATCTAAAAATATAGCAACCTAGGAGAGCAAAAATTAAACTGAAGAAAAACAATAAAATTGGTAGATTTACATCAAAAGATATCAAGACATATGGAGCTGATTAACTAAATGTTAATTAACATATAATCTTAAACTAGATCTCTCATAAATTACTGACGTAAGTACAATCATGCAAGCACATGAAAAATTGTGTAGCAATATCTACTAAAGCTAGTATAATATGCCAGGCCTATAACTTAGCCATTCCATTTATAGATATATATTCAAGGAAAATATTTCTTCTGAAAACATGAACAATAAGATGACTTGCAATTACACTCATAATATCACAGCTATTAGTAATTAATAGTAATTATTAATAATTACTGTTAATAATAGCACAAATAAATTCCAATCAACAACAGAATGGGTAAACTGACTCTAGTTAATAGCATACTACATATCAGGAGAAAATATTTATCGTCATATAAAACTATAAGAATGTATCTCATAGACATAGGATGAATAAAAGAGCTAGTCACAAAAGATGACATAATAATGTTATTCCATTTAAATGAAGTTCAAGAATAGGCAAATTAATTTATGGTGATTGATGTCACATTAATAATTACTTCTGGGCCAGGATGGGCTGTAAAGAGACCTGATGGAAAAATTACTGTAATAGTGAAAATTTTCCTTCTATTAATGTAAACTTGTGATTAGTGATCTATATTTATATATTTAGTATTTATACATATTTTTATACATACATATATAATACAATAAATAGAATATGATATATAGAAAATATACTATATAATATTTTTATAGCCAATATATATCTAAATGTTCTTGTAGTTGCCCACATAAGATCTATGTATCTTAAGTAGTAAGTTATAACATAACAAGTTTTCAATTATATACCTGAATGTAATGATCCATTAAATTTAAATTTAAGATGGAATTGACAATTAAGAGAAAATATAACAAAACTGACACAAAATATACAATCTTAATGATATCATAACCAATATAAAGAGAAGATTATTTCTTCAAATTAATCTTCCAAAAAAGAAAACCTATCTCAGATAACTTCAATAGTATGGTCAAAAAAAAAAAAACACATAAGAATGAAATTATTCCAATTCATGCAGAAGAGAAAAAAGAAAGATAAACCACACGTCAATTTAAGGTGGCTGGCATAAAGTTGTGTCAAAACCTGATTAGAAAAGTATGAGAAAAGAAGGTTTCAGCCAATCTCTCATAAACACAGAAAAAGGACTTTCTACAAAAATGTTAGCAAACAGCACTGTATAAAAATGAAAATATATGAGAATCTAGTTGGGTTTATTTCAGAGATGCAAATTTGGTTTAAGAGTAAAAAAGTTTATGTTAATAAATGTATATATATATATATAGAGAGAGAGAGAGAGAGAGAGAGAGAAAGAGAAAGAGAGAGAGAGACAGAGACAGAGACAATGACAGTTTCTCTCTGTCACCCAGGCTGGAATGCAGCGGCACAATCTCAGCTTACTGAAACTTCTGCCACCCGGGTTCAAGTGATTCTCATGTCTCGGCTTCCCTAGTAGCTGGGATTACAGGCATGCACCACCACTCCCAGCTAATTTTTTGTATCTTTAGTAGAGACGGTGTTTAGCCATGTTGGCCAGACTGATCTCGAACTCCCGACCTCAAGTGATCCACCCACCTCAGCCTCCCAAAGTTCTGGGATAACAGGTGTTAGCTACATGTCTGGCCTATGTTAATAAACTAAGAAAGAAAAATCAAATAATGATCTCAATAGATGTACAGAAAAACAAACTCAGTCTCAGCAGTTCTTAAAATACTCAAACAGAGAATCAAAATATATGAAGGGAACACTGACAGAATTACTGGGAGATAGAGAGTTCTACAGTAACAGTTGGAGATTTCAGTACCCCAATTTCAATAATGAATGAACATTCAGAAAAAAGATCAATAGGAAAATAAAGGACTTAAAAAACACTATAAACCAATCAGACCTAAGAGTATTATACAGAACCCTCCACACAACAGCTGAATATACTTTTTTTTTTTTTTTTTTTTTTTTTTTTTTTTTTTTTTTTTTTTTTTTGTCAAGGGCACATGAAACAATCTTCAGGATAGATCATGTGCTTAATCACAAAAAAGTTTAAATAAATTTAAAATACTGAAATCATACAAAGTGTATTTTCCAGTCAGAGCAGAATAAAGCTAGAAATCAATCATTTAAAGAACACTGAAAATCACAATATGTGGACATTAAACAATACAATCAAACATTCAAAGGGTCAGTATAGAAAACATAAAAGCAGCCAGGTGCAGTGGCTCACACCTGTAATTCCAGCATTTTGGGAAGCCTAGGTGGGTAGATGACTTAAGCCTAGGAGTTTGAGACTGGCCTGGGCAATATAGTGAGATCCAGTCTCTACAAAATAATAAATAAATAAATAAATAAATAAATAAATAAATAAATAAGCCAGGCATGGTGGTGCATGCCTGTAGTTCCAGCTACTCAGGGGGCTGAGGTGAGAGGATCACTTGAGCCCAGGGGGTTGAGGATTCAGTGAGCCACGATTGTGTCACTGTAGTCCAGCCTCACTGACAAGGCAAGACCCCATATCAATAAAAAAATTTGAAAACCCACAAAAGAAACAGATAATACCTTGAGACAAGTGAAAATGCAAACACAACATACAAAGACTTATGCCATCCAGCAAAAGCAGTGGTAAGAGGGATATTTAGAGCTGGAAACACATATATGAAACATGAGAAAAGACTGCTAATCAGTAAACCGATTTACACCTTAAGGAACCAGGAAAAGGAGAGGAAACTGAACACAGAATCACCATAATGAGGGAAATAAATTAGGAAATAGAAAAATAATTTAAAAGAAACAAAGGTTGGTTCTTTGAGAAGATCAAAAAAGGGAACAAACTTTAGCTAAATTGACTAAAAATGAAAGAGAGGACCCAAATTACTAAAAATCATAATTTAAAAGTGAGGATATTACTATTGATTTTATACAAACAGAAAGAAAGATAACAAAATACTATGAACAACTGTATGCCAACAAATTGGATAACTTAGATGATACTAAAAACTTTATAGAAATATATACTCTATAAAAAATGACTCAAAAGAAACAGAAAATGTGAACAGATTTATAACTAGTACAGCAATTGAATCAGTAATCAAAAACTTTCTTATAAAGAAGAGCCCAGCAAGATGGTTTCACTAGTAATTTCAAACAAACATTTAAAGAAGTAACACAAATCCTTTACAAACAATCTGAATGTTTGCAGAGGAAGGAACTTCCTAACTCATTCTATGAGGCCAATATGATCATGACACCCAAGCCAGGAAAAGACATTACAAGAAAACTACAGACCAATATCCCTTATTATTACTGATCCAAAATTCAATAAAATATTAGAAAACAAAATTCAATAACATACTAAAGGACTATATACAATGACCAAGAAGGTGTTATTTTCAGAATGTATGAATGGTTTAACATGAAAAAAAATCAATGTAATACACTACGTTAGCAGAATGAAAAGGAAAAAAACTACAAGCTCATGTCAATTGATGCAGAAAAACCACTTGTCCAATGTCAACCCCTTTTTTCTGATAAAAATATTCAACAAAGTATGAATAGAATAATACTCTCTCATCATGGTAAAGACTTTATATGAAAAATTCACAGCTAACATCACATTCAATTATGAAATGATGAAAGCATTTCCCCTAAGATTAATAACAGGGCAAGGGTGTCTACTATCCTCACTTATATTTAACATAATATTGAAAGTTCTAGCCAGAGAAATTGGGCAAGAAAAATAAATAAAAGACATCCATCTGGAAAGGAAGCAAAATTATCTGTTCACAGATGACATTATCTTTTTTGTATAAATCCTCAAGATTCTAAAAAAAGCAAAATCTTTTATATCTAATACATATTCAGTAAAGGTGCAACATACAAAATCAACTTGCAACAACAGCTGCATTTCTGTACATTAGCAATGAATAATCCAATGGAATTTAAGAAAACTCCATTTACAGTAACATTAAAAAGAATACAAGGCTTAGGAATAAATGTATGCAAGGAGGCAAAAGGCTTGTACACTGAAATCTATAACATACTGCTGAAACAAATTAACTCATAAATAACTGGAAAGGCATTCTGTGGTCATGGATTGGTAGACTTAATATTATTAAGATGGCAATACTACCCAAAGCAATCTACAGATTCAGTATTGTCCCTATCAAAATGTCAAGCATATTTTTGCAAAAAATAGGAAACCTCATCCTAAAATTCACATGGAATCTCAACGTACCACAAATAGAACAATCTTAGAAAAGAAAAAAGTTGAAGAATCCACATTTCCTGATGTCTAAACGTATTACAAAGCTACAGTAATAAAAACAGTGTGATAATGGCATAAAGGCAGACATACAGACCAATGGAACAGAATAGAGGGCCCAGAAAAAAAAAACCACTTGTATAAATTGTCAACTGATTTTGACAAGGAAGCTGAGACTATTCCATGGGTAAAAGATTGTCTTTTCAACAAATGGTGCTGTCAAAACTGGATATCCACATGCAAATGAATGAAGTTGGACCCTTAACTTACACAGCAAACAAGTAATTTAAACTAAGTAACACACCTAAGCTAAAACTTTAAAACTCTTAGAAAGCCTAATGACACTGGGGGAAAGTCTGATGACACTGAATTTGGCAACTACTCCTTGGATATGGTAACAAAACCATAGACAACAAAAGAAAAAATCTGGACTTAACTCCAATTGGACAAATTCAGTGTCATCAGACTTTCCCCCAGAAAAGTCTGATGACACTGAATTTGGCAATTACTGCTTGGATATGGTAACAAAACCATAGGCAACAAAAGAAAAAAAAATGGACTTAACAAAAATTTATAGCTTTGTGCACTTAGGACATTATCAAGACAGTAAAAATACAACTCACAGAATGGGGAGAAATATTTGAAAAATCACACATCTGATAAGCTATTAATGTCTAGAATATATAAAGAACTCCTAAAACTCAATAACAAAAAAGGCAACCTAATTTAAAATTGGACAAAAGACTTAAATAGACATTTCTCCAAAGAAGATATACAAATGGCCAATAAACACATGAAAAGATGCTCAATATCAATTAGTCATTAGAGAAATGCAAATCAAGTCCACAATGAGGAACACTTCACATTCACTAAGACGGCTAGTGTAAAAAACAAACAAGTAAGTGTTGGTTTGGAAATGGAGAAACTGGAAGGCTTGTATATTGCTGGTGGTAATATAAAATGGTGCAGCTGTTGTGGAAAAGTTTGACCTCTCATAGAATGACCATATGATTCAGTAATTCCACTCCTAGGTATATATGCAAATATTTGAAAGTTGGGATTCATATAATTGTATACTAATGCTAATAAAAGCATCCTTCATGATTGCCAACAGATAGAAACAACCCAAATACCCATTAATAAATGAACAGGTATATGTAGTAGATATTATTCTACCTTAAGGAATTTAGTTCTCATACAGGCTACCACATGAATGAACCTTAAAAATATTTTAACTAAAATAAGCCAGACACAAAAAGACAGATACTGTATGATTACACTTGTATAAGGTACCAAAAGTAGACAAATTCATAGAGACCGAAAATAGAATGAAGAATACTGGGAGATGAAGGGAAGGGCTAATGGAGTTATTGTTTAATTAATACAATTTTTGATAGTCATACAAAAAAGATCCTAAATGGATAGTGGTGATGATTGCACAATATTGTGAATGTACTTACCACTACTGAATTTTACACTTAAAAATGGTTAAAACTGTATATTTTATGCCATGCATAATTTACCAATAAAAAAAAAGTAGAGCTTCTGGGAGACATGGTTAATGAGAAAGTTTGGGCAGGATAATTAAAAGGCAGGCCTGGAACATGTTATGATGCCATAAAGTGAGAAACTGCTCAAAAAATAATGAGGGTATATTGCATGAGTACAAATTTTACTTTACAGAAACTATAATGGTGAAATTTTGGATAACGAACAACATAATAATGATGGCAATGAAAAATAACTAAAGGAATACAATATTCATAAATCCATAATGGCAAAAAAACCAATAAGTTGGAAGAGAATATAACTCTCCCTTAGAGTAGAATTATAATCAATAAATATAGAATAATGAATACAGAAACTGCCATTAGGCAAACAACACAGAAACAATTGTCACATGCAGGAATTATCACTGGATGCTAAAGTTAGTTCATCATCTGATGTTGAACTTTGTCCATACATTTGGCAAATGTCTGATGAATACGCACGTTTCTGTAGTCTCAAACTACTTTCTAACAAGACTTTAAGACAAAGGAATAAAATAGCACCAGATCTGATGGGGGTCAGGGAGCAGTTCTCAGGTCCCTAGAGAAATGCCCCATTGAGGAGTGGAAGAACTGCTGCCATGCCAAAGACCCAGCACGGGGAAATGGAGTGACTGGCTCCACAGCCTAGTGAGCAGTTGTGGGACCCACTTTGCTTTTATCCTCTAGACCCAGTGGCATTCCCTCCCATGCCCTGACATTGGCAGCAAGTGGGGACAATAAGTTAAGTCACAAGCAGTTTGCTTTCAGTCTGCGAAACTCAGACAAATAGCTTCCTGCTACAGTTCTGTGAAAGTGGCAGGGGTCAGGGGTGTCATACTCATCTGTCAGTTCTGGCTATGGGAGCTCCTACCCTCCTCAAGGCCAGAGTGCCAATCCCCAGTCTGAGATTCTCAAAAACAGTGACTGTCACTCGTGCTAACTGGCATGTTCCCAAGCAACTCACTAGGATCTAGGAAAAGGAATGGCCTCCTCTTTTGGTGCCCAGGTCCGGGAGCAAGTTTGGTACACTTCCCAGTGCTGTTCCTTCTCATAGTTTCCTGACTGCTCCCCAAGTCAGATTCAGGGTTTTGGAGGGTCAAGGAGCTCTTCTGTGGCCTGGATTGCCTGGCTACCCAGTGGGAATGGGTATCACAGAGACACTCACTCTCCCTCTCATGTACTGGGCTTTCACACAATTTTCCACTGGACCTCATCATGTGGGCTACTGCCCATCTTCTTTTCCCAGAAAACAAAGTTTTCTTTCACTTCTACATTGAACTCCCGTGTTCTTCCTTGGATAAAAATTCTCATTGTGAATCTCTATACACTATATTGCTATTTCCAAGTGGGTGAGGTGTGCTGGCAAAGCCTCTATTCTGCTATCATTTTTTGGCTTCCAGGATGTCCTGGCATCCTGCATACTAATCTAATTCCTTCAGTTAACAGGTCACAAATGCTTCATAAGAGTCACCTGGGGTCTCCAGTATCTCAGGAGAAGAGGCAGTAGAGATGGGACTCTGAGCCATGCATACTGAATTTAAATTGATCGTTTCAGTGAAATATTTTTTGTTCCAATTGTACTTTTTTGTCCCCTTTCCAACTTGGCTTCTTTTGGATAAATAAAGTGGAGTTTTGGGGTAACATTTTTTCTATCTACTAATTGTTATATACATATTATTTTACTATCTTTTAGTGGCTGTCCTAAAGAATACATCATGCATCTTAATCTACTATTACAATCTAATACAAATCATTACTTATACCAGTTCTAGACAATGGTTGAAACTGAAAACATTTTATTTACTCCCTCTTGCTTCTGGTGTTACCATGATCATATATATTTAGTTCTACATATTTTAAGCACATAAAGCATTATATATTTTTGCGTAGTCAATATTTATTTACATTTATCTCTATGTTTTTCTTTTCCATTGCCCCTTATGCCATCCTGCATGAACATGTTTCTGCCTGGGATCATTTTAAACTAACTGAAAAATTCCCTTTAGTCCTTTTTTGAGTGTAGATTTGCCTACAGCAATTCTCTCATATGTTATGTCTAATGGTGTTTTGATTTTCCATCATGTATGATGATATTTCCATCAGGTATAGCATTATAAGTTGACAACTGTTTGATTTCAGCACGTAAACATGTCATCCTATTGCCTTTTGGTATCTGTCATGCATTTCCACACACCCCCTTCTATCCATGATAGAAAGGAAGGGAGCTATGCTGCCTCTTGAATCCTTATGCCCTGACATTTTACCAATGTCTTTAATAGAATGAGTAATTTTAAAATTTTATTAGACTTTTCTAGTTTTTCCAGAAAGAGCTTTTGTCTGCTATAAGCTACTTCATCATGGCCGGGAGAAGCACTAATTTTTGTTTTTTAGATTTTGACCCACGAAGTCTTCATGATATTGTTAATTCTTCAACATATCTAAGACAGTTTCACTCAAGTAAGTTTTCCAAATTACATGGACTGCTTTTACTGAAAATAAACGTATCGGCCGGCGCAGTGGCTCACACTTGTAATCCCAGCACTCTGGGAGGCGGAGGCGGGCGGATCACGAGGTCAGGAGATTGAGACCATCCTGGCTAACACGGTGAAACCCCGTCCCTACTAAAAACACAAAAAATTACCCGGGCACGGTGGTGGGCGCCTGTAGTCCCAGCTGCTCGGGCGCCTGAGGCAGGAGAAGGGCGTGAACCCAGGAGACGGAGCTTGCAGTGAGCCGAGATCCCGCCACTGCACTCCAGCCTGGGCGACAGAGCAAGACTCCGTCTCTAAATAAATAAATAAATAAATAAATAAATAAATAGAAATGTATCTATTTAAGGAAAATCTGGGCATTCCACACTGCTAATCCATAGAATGACCTATCCATTGGCCATGATTTTTCAATTATTTAGTTTCTTCAGAAATATAATGATTCAAAATAAGAACAATGTCTTTGTGGGTCGAAAAGGCGGATGAGTTTTATTTCGTACTGATAATAGAACTATTTAAATACATGTAGTGAAAACGACGCAAAGGAAACTTTTTTTTGTCTCTGATCCTCTGATGTAAAATCAAAACAAGGGTTCAGGGATGCAAGTCTTTAGGATAAATTTATTGACTCTGAAATGCTTTATTTAAAAACATTTTTACCTACTAAACAATTTGCTTTTCCTGCATAAAGTACAAATGTACACTTTATTAATAAAACCATCTCAAGATGATTAAATATGCTAACCTGCAACCTAATCATTTCTGATCACAGACACAGATACCGTGTCATAAAGAAAGAACTCCCTGCTGGAATTTCCATGTGATTATCAAAAGGCTTGAATCAGCAATAGCTATTCTTTTTTTAAAAAAGAGAAAGCAATAGGAAAAAAAGTTGTCTAATTTATTATTGAGCTACACATTTAATCCATAATAATCAGTGGCAAACAGTCTGCTACCTCAGCAGAAGCACGGGCATCCTATCGAGGTAGTGCCTTATCAAAACTAATATTCTGACATTCTATGTGTTGCCTTATCAACATTAATACTCAGATATCTCAAACTCAGTGTATGTAAGAATCACCTAGGAAGCTTATAAATGTAGATGTCTGATTCCTAAACGTTGGATATGTTTTGAGAAAATCTTCAGGAAATTCTGATACACCTATGAGTTTTAAAACCACTGCCATAGTTTAAAGAGAAAAAAATAGGAAGGGATCTGGGGTATTATGTCAAAGAATGCTACTTGATCTACAAGTTTGTTTGTTTTTGGTTTTTTGTTTTTTTTTTTTTGAAAAACTAGCAGAAATAACATGGGAGAAAGTTGAATATATAAGCTATACAAAAATATAATAGAAATTGAAAAGTAAAGCATTTCAGAATCTGTGTTTTCACAAACTTCTTTTAAAAACAACGTAATATTAGGCTAGTCTTTGGTTGTAGTATATTATATAATTTATAAAATTATAAGACACTGATAATTCACACATTTAATAAGTCTCTCTTTAAAGTGCCAAAACTGATTAACAAAATGTTGTACATTATAAGGAATGGTAAATGTCAAATCACAGAGAAGCTTTTCAGTATAAATTAATTTAAAAGTACTAAATAAGTTAGGAAAAAGAAAAATAATATAGGTGGAAATGTTAAGTCTTCACTAATTTATAAGGAAACAAGCTTTCTCTTCCAGAAGGAAAAGAACAAATCTGGTGCTTATTTCACCTACTACGGAGAAAGTAAACAAACTTCCCTTATGTCATAAAATGCTTTGTCTCAATCTTGTTTGTTGAATATAAACATGGTATATCATTTTATTCTGGACAGAAGTTGTTTCATGAGATACCTCATATATTTTGTGAGCTCATCATCATTTTATCTAGTAGTCAGTTTCATACTTGAATGGATTTTAAATTCATTTACTATGTTAATTTTGTCTTTTAACTAGTGTTATCCTAATTTAAAATACAGGGTAATTTGTTAAATCATTTTCTATTCAGAGAATTATTTAAGTATCTTTTTGAGTAGTTATATGCTTTTCTAAAACGTTAGGGTGATAACCTCCTGTAAAATAAACAAAAATTATTATTATCCTATGGGGTCCTGAATGTTACATTAAGGGAACTGAATCTTGCTTAATAGCTTACAGGAATGATAACACAAAGATAATTATAAATTAAAATGTTTATTAACCATAAGATGGCACAAAATGAAATTTAGCAACTCACTAATTAATAAGTCTATTGAGCAATGATGATGAGCCCATAAAATCCAAAAAATAAATTTTATTTTATTTAAGCAAAATTCCCCCCCATAAACTTGATGCTCATTCATGCTATTGCTTGGATGGTACTTGCTATCCTGGTATCCTGCAAAGTAACTTCCTCAAGACTCAAACACAAGTCTCACCGAGAAAGCCGTATCACAATTACATTGAACCCTTGTGATCTATCCTATTGCAAACTCAATTTTCTTTATATAATCTTCTTGTATTTTTCCCTTAACAGTCTCTTGTTCCCTAATTGTTTCATGGATGCATCTCCTAAGTATATAAACTCCGTGGGCAGAGATCAAATATTCAGGAGCACAAAACAGTATTTTAGAGACAGAAAATATTTTTGAGATTCATGTTAAATTATCTCATATACTTCTTATGACAAGAATAAAAACAATTACCTTGATCAAATAGTGTAGTACATAATAAGTTGAGTGTAATCATTACATGGTGAAATTAGAAAACATTACAATTGTGTTGTTACCCAAAGTTTTTAAATACAAAAAAAATTTTTAATGATAAAATTATGTGTAATTCTGACATTCAAAACTACTACTTCACTTGAAAGAGCTATGTTTGACAATTTCAAAATACTTATAATTGAGGAGATGCAAATATTTTAACAATTTTAGTTTAAGTCTTCTTTGAATAATGATATAAATACATGTAATAGCTTAACTACTATGTTCCAGTTTATTTTTTGGGTATTTCTATGTTTTTCTTTATCCTTATCTGTGTTCTGGAGTTATACATATATATATATATATATATATAAAATATATATAATATAATATAATATATTATATATTACATATTATGTATATTACATATCTGTGTTCTGGATATATATCATATATTAGATAATATATAAATATATATTAATATATTTATATTATATATTATATATTAATATAATTTTATATTATATATTATATATATTATAATATAATTTTATATTATATTATAATATATATAATATAATTTTATATTATATTATAATATATATAATATAATTTTATATTATATATAATTATAATATAATTTTATATTATAATTATATATTATATTTATATTATAATTATATATTATATTATAATTTAATTAATAAAATTAAATTGTATTATGTTATATGTTATATAATATAAAATTATATAATATAAATATATAATATAAATATATAATACATATAATATAAATATATAATATATATAATATAAATATATAATATATATAATATAAATATATAATATATAACATATATTATATAATACATAATATAAAAATTAATTTTTCAGTCTTAAAAGAGTTTAAAAAATTTATACTAATATCACTAAATTTATACCTGTCTTAGTCTGTTTCATATTGCCATAAGAGGATATTTAAGCCTGGATAGTTTATAAAGGAAAAACGTTTATTTGTCTCACGATTCTGATGGCTGAAAAGTTTGAGACTGGGCATTCGGTGAGGGCCTCGGGCTGCTTCCACCCATGGCAGAAGGTGAAAGGCAGCCTGAGTGTGCAGAACTCAAATGGTGAGAGAGGAAGCCAGAGAGGGGGGCAGGTGCCAGCCTCTTTTGTATAGCCAGCTCTCACAGGAACTAACAGAATTAGAACTCGGTCACCCCGAGGGAGAATATTAATCTATTCATGAGAGATCTGCTCCCACGACCCGAACCTCTCCCACTACGCCTTACATCCCAACATTGCCACACTTGGAACTAAATTTAAACATGAGATTTTGTGGGAACAAACAAACCATAGCCAAATCATAGCAATATCATTCTCATTAAGTCATTTCTAATTGTTCTTTTCTCCTTTCTTTCTGCAATTTAAGTTAGATTAAAAGCCTTTTCATAAAATAGACTACTGACTATTCCTTTTACTTTGTTTTCTTTGATTTGGCTAGAGTTATCTTTATAACTTTTTGTGTTTTGTTATTTAAATATATGAACTTTCACAAAAATATAGTACAAAGTTATATTAGGAAATAGAATACAAATTAAACAAAGAAATAACTGCCAACTGTTAACTTTGTAACTATTTTTAAAATTGTGATTATATATATTTTATATATATAAAATCACTGGTTTTAAATATCAGTGATTATTTCTATCATATAATGTATGTTATATATAATGTAATATATATTTATATACAAATTGTAAATATTTATATATGTTATATATAATATAGATCAGATATAATATATATTATATAATATATATTATATATAATTATATATTATATAATATATATTATAATTATATATATTATATAATATATATTATATATAATTATATATATTATATATAATTATATATATTATATATAAAATATATATAATATATAATATAAAATATATATAATATATATTATGTACATATAATAATATATATAATTATATATAATATATATTATATATAATATAAATTATATATGGTATATTATATAATATATATTATAATTTTATATAATTATATAAATTATATATTATATAATTATATAAATTATATATTATATAATTATATAAATTATATAATTATATTATATTATATTATATTATATATTATATAATATCTTGATATAAAATATATATTATATATTATATATAATAATATATATAATTATATATAATATATTATATATAATATAAATTATATATGGTATATTATATATTATATATTATAATTTTACATAATTATATGAATTATATAGATTATATAATTATATGAATTATATAGATTATATAATTATATGAATTATATAGATTATATAATTATATGAATTATATAGATTATATAATTATATGAATTATATAGATTATATAATTATATGAATTATATAGATTATATAATTATATGAATTATATAGATTATATAATTATATGAATTATATAGATTATATAATTATATGAATTATATAGATTATATAATTATATGAATTATATAGATTATATAATTATATGAATTATATAGATTATATAATTATATGAATTATATAATTATATAATTATATGAATTATATAATTATATAATTATAAATATTTATATATTAATATAAATATTTATATAAAATATATAATATATAATATATATTATATATATATAATTTATTATTATATATATTTATTATATATATATATAATGTAATATATAATATATAATATAATTATATTATATATTTATATTATATATTATATATAATTTATAATTATACATAATATATATAATATATAATTATATAATATATAATTATATAATATATAATACATAATATATAATTATATATAATATATAATACATAATATATATAATCACTGATTTTAAAAAGTTACAAAGTTAACAGTTGGAAGTCATTTGTTTAATTTGTATTCTATTTCCTAATATTCCTGTGTACTATATTTTTGTGAAACTTCATATTTTTAAACAATAATGAAACACAAAAAAATTATAAAGATAACTGTAGCCAAGTCAAAGAAAACAAAGCAAAAGGAAGACCCTCACTGAATGCTCAATCTCAAACTTCTCAGCCATCAGAATCGTGAGACAAATAAACTTTTTTCCTTTATAAACTATCAAGGCTCAAGTATTCTCTTATGGCAATATGAAACAGACTAAGACAGGTATAAATTTAGTGATATTAGTATAAATTGTTAAAACTCTTTTAAGACTGAAAATTAATTGGCCCATTAATCTCTCAATAATAGAAATGCAAAGACTTTGAATTCATGTGCTCAATCTAAGTCAACAGCCTCTACAGAACTCTCTTCTATAGTAAAGATGAAAAAGAAAGAATGAATGTCAGAGAGCAGCTCAGATCCTGTAGTGCTAGGACCAAAAGTTAGAAAAAACAATTGGTAATAAAACAATTCATATACTTATTTCACAAGGAAGGAAAAAGTCACAAAGATATCTACTGTAGACTATACAAACCTAAACTCATCAATAGTAGATTCTAAAAGATATATTAATTGGCTTTTTTTAAAGTCAGGAACTCTAAGTGACTCATAACTATTATTTGTGTTTCCTCCCAGATAACTGCCTAATGATCCTAAACTCCCTTGCTGTAATATTAATACCAAGGCCAAAATTAAGCCAGACTGTTTTTCTTTCACATCTTTAGATTCACTTTTCAAATACACTACTTTAAATAAACTATGAAAAAATACCTAAATGATAGTAAAAATAAGTGATATGCATTCACTTAGGCTTAATGAAAACACATAAATTTTCAACAATATAAAACATGAAATCATAATTCATTACATACCACAGCACTCAGGACATTTTGGATGTTGCTGGACATTCATTCCATATCCTGGAAAGCAGCGATTAATCCAAACCATTTGGAGAGTACCTTCAATATAGTATATTTGAGGTAATTGTTCTGCACGTCTGCCAAGAATTTCTACTTGTTGATTAAAAAATCTCTCTATGAGATTTTTAGCCTAAAACATAAATACAATTTGATAAACTGTTAGCCATAAAAAATGTAATTTTAGAACAAATAAGGATGCATGTGGATTTAGAATTTAAAGAAAACAAAGTCTCAAGGTCATTATTTTTTCTTGCACTCACAGACTATAAATAAAACACACAAAACTGAAAAGATGTCATCTATAAACATCAAATATTTCTAAATGCACTTCCAATTACAATGCAAAGAAATCATTTGAAGATTTCTTTTTGGTCCCTTTGTATTTTGAATAATACAGGAATAAGTATATGAGCAAAATCAAGAAAGCTCTTTGAAATTGATTAAGAAATGTAATGTACTTTAAAATAATATATTATAAGCATCTGTAAGAAGCTTATCCTGAGGCACAACATCAACTCTTTTCACAAAGAAAAATTTAATTTAAAAACAAAAAAATATATAACTTCTAGCTCTGTTTCAAAAATTAAATCTAAAAAAATAAAGCATCATTCTGATCTATAATTATCTTTATGTTTGTAATAATTATACTGGCTTGCCTCCTAAAATTAACAAGAGCCTTAGACTTCTCTGACTGCTAAGATCTATGCATTCAAGTATGAGGTACGCATAAATTCAAACTGCTACAAGCTAGTTAGTTCTACTCATTCTGCCACACTAACTAGCACCTCCAATCTAGTCAGGAGCAGGGATAAATGGACCACACAGGCTGATCTATAACTACTAATGGTGCACCTCATGTCTACTGAGTTCTTCCAATATCTTGTAAATTACACCTCTTCCATTACAATTTCTATAATGTCCAGGTTCTCCCATGCAAAAACACCCACAAAGGGTGATAAAATAATAACTCTGTCTCACACATAAAGTAACTTAAAATATTGCATAAAATTATTTTCAGGTTATCTATATAAGGCAGTGGTTCATAACCTTTTTGGCACTAGGGAATGGTTTTATGGAAGACAGTTTTTTCACAGACCAGGGTGGTAGGATGTTTTTGGGATGAAACTGTTCTACTTTAGATAATCAGGCATTAAGATTCTCATAAGGAGCGTGCCACCTAGATCCCTTCCATGTGGAGTTCACAATAGGGTTTGTGATCCAATGAGAATCTAATGCTGTCACTGATCTGACAGGAAGCGGGGCTCAGGCAGTAACGTTCGCTTGCTGCTACTCTCCTTCTGCTGTGTGGCCTGTTTCCTATCAGGCCATGGACTGGTACTGGTCCGAGGCCTGGGGATTGGGGACCCCTAGTATAAGGTATATATGAAACATAAATAAATTTTCTATTTAGATTTGGGTTCCATCCCCATGATATCTCATTTTATATATATGCAAATACAGCAGGTCCTCAAATAATGTCCTTTCCTTCAATGTCATTTTGTTATAATGTTGAAGAGAAAAAAAATGCTTCCTAGCTAGGCCACTGTGCATGTGGAGTCTGCATGTTCTCCTCATGTCTGCATGAGTTTTCTCCAGGTACTCTGGTTTCCTCCCACATCTCAAAGATGCACGTTACATTAATTGGCATGGCTAAATTGTCCCCCTGGGAGTAAGTGTGGATGTGTGTGAGTGCACCCTGTGATGGAATGGTACCCTGTCCAGCGTTGGTTCCCACCTTGAGCGCTGAGCTACCTGAATAGGCTCCAGCCACCTGTGACACTGAACTGGAACAAGTAAATAATTATTATACTTTGTTTTTATTACTCTTTCTTAAATATATGTATTTCTCACATTTATTTCAATGTTTAATATTAAAAATGTTTTGGGTCTTTATTTCAAAATGTGGTGATATTTTTGCAACCAGAAATATGCCAGAGGAACTTAACTCTTGTTTATATCATTTAGCCTGTGGTAAAATTTATTTTGTGATATGTCATTTTGCTTAAAGTTGCAGTTTCCAGAAGCCTATTGATGAAATTAAGTGAAGATTTACTGTATTTCAAAATCTGAAAATATCTGAAATCTAAAATACTTCTGGTTCCAACCATTTCAGATAAAGGATACTCAAAATATGTGTTATGAAATTAATTGCATTTAAATTTGAGACTATAATTAAAAGTGTCAGGAGACACATTCCTAATCACTCAGATTACATCACACAGAGCCTAATTAGGCTTCCTAATACCCCATGCAAAAAAAAAAAAAAAAAAACCTAAATGAAGTTAGACCTGAGAAAACCTAGTGATAGATGCAGGAGGCAGATAAGGGAGGATCCCTGGAGAATCCCCAACCCGCCCCACAAGTGTTTACATCAGATGCTTTTGTGCAGATGTGGGAACCTGCCAAGGGTCTTGTCTGCACATGCTGGCAACAGACTGGGGGCCTGCCTGCACACTGGGAAAATGGGGTGCAGCCACTGGGGATTCATGCCTTAAGCAGTGAGAAGAGACCTGGCCCCTTCAGCTGGTGTGTGTGGTGACCTGGTATGCAATCTGTGAGTTGGGAGCCTGCTGGCAGAACCCCTTTTTTTTCACTGAGAGCGTTCTTTAATAAATTCTGCTCTCCTCAAACTTTCAATGTGTCCATGCACCTAATTTTTCCTGGTTGTGTGATAAGGACCTAGATTTTAGCTGAACTAAGGAGCAAAATATCTTGCATCATTTTGGTGGCCCATGTGGGGACATGAAGAAAGGTGAGTAAAATGCAGATCAAAGCATCTTTTCCCCTCTTGTATCTGAGCCTTTTTGTCCTTGGACTTCTGAGAGTAGAAGAAACTGTATCCCCCACCCTCCGTTGCTCCTGGGGGTCAGGAATGTCAACCTTGGTCTAACCCAGCCTTTTCTACAGCATTTTCCTTCTTTTTTTCAGGAGTGTAATGGCACCACCCCACCACAATGGCCGCAGGCACCCATGGGACTGAAAGGCAAGCAGCAGCACCCCATTCCCCCTTCCCTCCCAGCTGGGGCTGGGGCCCATGCCCAAAGGGTCCTGCGTGGCAGGCTGGCCAGCATTCCCTGCCACGTGTGTATCCACAGTGTCTTCCCCTCCCTTGGCCAAGAAGTCCAGCTCTGTTCCAGCCCCAGGGAAGAAACAGCAATTAAGTTTCCCTCCTTGTTGGAAGAACCATTCGCATAAGAATAAGAGGTTCTTCCCTCAGTTAACACAGCCCTGAACTTTAAGCTGTTTTTCTTTTTTTTTTCTCCACCAGGTCAAGAGTTAACTTTTATGCAAAAGGCTTTTTTCCTTTTAGAAGACATTTTACTAGGCCAGGACCCCAACTATCACTGTTTATATTCTCCATAAAGTTTTATTTATGAAAAAGGATTTGTGAGGCTGGTCTTAAGTTATAGCCAATCTGGAGTGGTTCACATGTCTTTACGGTTCTGTCAAAAAGAGGGGTATCTTAGGATGGGATATGGGCCCAGGACTCCATAGGCCCTCTATTAAAGACAGTCTGGTAAACTGGTCAGTGGCAAACTTCGCTGCAGGCCTTCATCTTGTTTTATGTCCTTGGAAGCATGACCTGTAAGCAGGTGGCAGTGCTTTTAGCCTCCAACATTTTACAGCGGCGGCCTGGGTTCAATCTTGGCTTAGGGAGTGAGTCCTTTCTGGTTTGATATCTGTGTGACCTTTGACATTTGTTGATTCTCTTCCCCTCCACGAACCACCTTGAATTTTCCTCTCTGAGCACCTGGGAGATTACCTTTGATAAAGTTTCAAAGCTACAAATATTGGTTGTTTGGCATGGATAAAGTCAGGTAATAAGGGATTTAAAAGGATTTTTTTAAAGAGCACTCAGCTTAATTCAAAGTGGATATCCAAGTTATAAGTATATTTAAAAGGCCTTTATGTTTTTCTCTTCCTAAACTTTATTTTCCTGGAAAAAGATTTTTTTCTCAGTCGACTAAACTATTTTTCTCCATTTTGCCTTGCCTATCTTAATGGGTGCATGAGAGGCCCCAAGATGATTTCTCATGGCCTGGGAATCCTTGGGAAAAACAGAAAAGGTGCCACAAATTCCATTTTGGGAGAGACCTCTGTTTTCCTAAAGGAGTCCTAGGAATTAGAGGTGGCTAGATCCCTCTCAAAATCTGTTTTTAATCTTCCAGCTATACCTGTTTATTAGGCCCTGGAAACTGCATGCTTTCCTAGCCTTGCTTTAAGCCTTTTTAGCCTTAGAGAGTTCCATCCAGAGGCCAATAATCCAATTAGGAGACTGGCAAACAGTCTAAATAGTTACTGGATCTTCTTCTGCCTTTCTGTGTAGTTATATATGTGTTGTGTGTGTGTGTGTGTGTGTGTGTGTGTGTGTGTGTGTGTGTGCAATGTCTATAAAAAAGAGCTCTAATTAACTGATTTGAAGGATAAGCACTTGGATCAAATATTTTTTAAAAGGAAAATAAAAGCTGTGGGACCTTTTAGTTCACGTGACATTAATTTTTGAAAAATAAAAACAGCCTTAAAGACTATTGGTAAAATGCAGATGTTGTCAAAATGTAAATTTTTACCTAGGGTTAAAGGACTGTTTTGAATTAGATAAGATAAAGCTAAAAGTTCAAACAAGTTGTGGAAGAATTGTAAAAATTAATCTTGCGAAAGAAATTTCATGTGTGAATACATTAAATTCAACAGAGTATTATATGGTTTTTCTGTAAATTAAGCATTAAAAGCATAACAAAATACTCTTAATGCACTAATCTGCTCTTTAGCTAAATCTGTAAAAGGTTATACAAGGTTTTTGCTTTTAAAAAAATTCTAAGTCATCATTTTAGAAAAATAAATAATATGGAAATTTGGAATTCTTTCATATCATCAAGTGTTTTAAGCCTCTAACATACTTAACAAGCCTCCTCAAATCAAACCTCAGTTTCAAAAATTGTCTTTCCTGACACCTAGCTTTTAGATGCTACAGAGGGCCCCTGGAGCATCTAGAAGAGTGGTAAACAAGATTATTTGACATGTTTAGGTACATGGGATTGCCAAAATGATGCTTAATCTTCTTTAGGTTATATTTTATGTAATAATGTTAATTTGTGTTCCAAAATTGTATGGGATTTCTAAAATTCTGAGTATATGCTATCAATCACAATTAAGGTTGTTATGCTAAGTTATTATAAACCACAGAGATAACCAAATTTCTTTGTTAGTCATGTTTCTAACTGTAACTACCATGGACATTCTATTATTCACAGATAATTGTTGTCTTATTTTAATCCTCTTCAAAGGATGGTCTATAATCAGCCACAAAACTCTGACAGGCAGTCTCAAATGCAGGTTTCTGAAAACTCTGGAGATTGTGACATTGGAATAAAGGAAAAACATACAGGACTCAGGAAGAGTTGAAATGTTCACAAATATCAAGCAAAACAAGAGTTAACTGAATGGACTGAATTAATAGAAAACTGAAGTAATGTTTTCAGTAATGACTTTTGATTGGAACATTGCTGATCTTTGTTTTGTTTTTCAGAGTCAAGGAAGCTTATTTTGAGCTATTTATGACCTTTAATAATTGAGTAAGTTATACTCCTATGAACAAAATTTGGAGCATATTTGTCTCTCTCTCTCTGTGCATGGCTTCTTCAGAATTTGGAAACTAGTTCTGAGTATTCTTAATTTATGCCGTTATAGTTGTTTGCATCAGTACAATAAGGATCCATTTTCTTTTGCAACAGGAATGCAATTGGAGAAATTGGTTGTTTTACCAAGGCTTTGACTGGAAGGGTATGCTTCCCTTTAAGGAATCAAGCTCGACTTGCAGATAAAGGTCCCATGGGAGAAACTGGCCTCATACCTTGTGTACACAGTCCCTGTACGGGGTTCCTAACCTGTGGAAAGTAAAGAATGTCAGTTTCTAACAGGCCCGGGAACCCCATGCTCTAGGGACCTCAAGAAGAGAGGAGTTTGCCCAACTCACAGGTTTGAGGGTACAAACCCATGGCTGGGCTTGGCTTTAGAAAGTCCTATCTGAGATTCCTTGTGGAACAGAGTTCCATCAAAGTGAATCCAAAAGGTCTATGTAAAAATAATTATTCTTGCTGCACTTTATGCAAATAATCAGGCCAAGTATAAGACTAAAGTCTATTTTGCAAACAAGTTAGTCCTATCATGATTTGTTTTTAACAAAAATGAGGACTAGAGAGAGAGAAATTCTGTTTCAAAACTTATCATACATTTGTCATCAAAATCTACATTCATTAGTTGCTTTTAAGTTTTTGCCTACATTTTAGAGTAACCCTGCTTATTCCTGTGAACCAACCAGTAATCTCTGACTGCAGACCAGAAGGAAAAAAGGGGTATGGGTAATGTAAAAATCTGGATCAATATTCTAGTTCTGAGCAATTATCCTGAAAATTCTGCCAGGTGATAGGAATAAATAGGGTGCCCATTACTCAGAGTTTTCCTTTTTAGGAAAGCAAGATCAAGGGAGCCAAACAAAGTCAAGACCCATCACCCAATCTTAGCAAGCATAACTATAGCTGCCAGTTTTCTTGGCATGTCACAGGATATCCTTTTCTCTCCCTTGTTGGAAGAGGACTCAATTTTACAGCTTCACCTTAGCATTCAGTTTATGATAAAGAGTCCCCCCAAAACACATTTTTGTCCCAAATTCAATTCCAAGCTTCAGGTCAAAGCCCTAGGAAAGAAAACTGGATCTAAGGGATCCAGAGGCAGACAATAATGGAAGTTAAAAGGCACAGAACAGGTAAGCATGACTAATTCCTGCTGATTAAGCCAAACCTCCTGTTTCATGGATAAATGTCATTCTAGTATCCATGGCATAAATGAGGTCTAGAAAACTCAAAGGCTACTGACAGCAGAGGGGATAGGGCGTATGTGGGTAAGAGCAGATATTCCCACCCCCTTGGGCACCCCATTAATATGGGTGAAAGCCGCTTTGACACCCATGGAAAGCACCCTGTCGTAGTCACCAGACTCAGGGATACAAGGACGGATGAAAGAAAGAGGGATGCCTCACTTTCTCGTCCTCATATACCCTGGATATTCACTAGGAAGAGAAGGGAAACTGGGATGAGTCGCTCCCCTCTTTCTAGATGAGTAGCCATTCATCTTCAGTCTGTACCCCTTTGGAATGCACCCTGCAACCCTGGGACTCCTTTGAAAAAAACGTCCCCTGAAAAGAAAAGCTTTATAGAGGGATTAAGTATATATGGGGGGGGACTATGTTTTACAATAATTGGTTGATGGTTCAGGAAACAAAAAAAAAACTGTTACTGTTTCAACAATGAGCAATCTGTAAAATAAACACATTTTTGCATGAAAATGAACAGCTTATTTTAATTACTACAATCTGTCCTACTGGCCATGCCAAGCTCATTGTGAATAAATATGACTGGAACAGCTTTAATATATGTTCTAGATTGGTCTAACACACCTAACAAGAAGTCTAACAAGATTAGTTAACAAGATTAGTTAACTAATTAGTCTAACAAGAAGGCAGCAACTAGCATTATGGGTGTTTTAGGATAGGCAACAGATATCATACAGGATTATAGTCCAACTAGGGCTCAAATATCCACTAGGGGAGAACTAGTATTTACAAGGTGTTACAGATATTATACTTATAAAATAGAGTTCTTTGAATATCTCTGATTAACACCCATATTTGGGAATCTCTGGGATAAATGACTGTAATAATCAAAAGGGGTTGGAAAAATAATTTTAAAAAGGAGATGGAAACACAAAGGTGTCTTGAATGAACTGGAGAGAAATGTGAATTTTTGTAGGAAAGGGATTATTTTGATGCTCAGAATGCAAATAAGAGATGGGGTGTACAGACTTTATAACATAAAGTCTCTACAGATAACTATAAAAAGTGATTAACCAGAAACTCAAAATTGTCCCTCTCTTGTTAGGAACATCAGAACAGCAATAATGTGATCTCATATTACTGAATTAGGCGGAGATATATGAGATTGAGCTAAATTTGAGAGCAAAAGCAAAGGAATGAGGAAGAAAGTAAGGGTTATATAATCTGAATTCTATGAAAGCTGGAATTCACTCCTAAGAAACATAATTAATCCTAAAACTTCAGATCAGAAAATTTTCACTTTGCAATGTCGGGACAACTTCAATCCTGAAGCAAAAAGCAAAACAATCCATTCTTCCTTTGTTTTTTCTCCAGAAACTGAAACTTGCACTAGAAAATCAGGCTCTTCAAAAGAAAGATTAAAGACAAATTATAATTTATATTTTGAAATTATTAGAGAGGTAAACTGGCATATTAAGTTTTTTTTAAGTAGTATATTTCTCACTGAAAAAAGCAGATGAGACAGAGAGTGGGCAGGTAGAAATGAAATTTAAAAATAGGAAAAATATGTCTATTTTTAGCCTTGTGGTGTCCTAGATACCCTGAGAAAACCTCCCGTCAAAAATCACCTAACTGAAACACAGATTTTGTGTAGACACATTTCTACAGTAAGAGAGGGTGGGAGAAAGGGAAGAAAGAGAGGGAAAGAGGGAAAAAGAAAAGTAAGAATGTAGGAAGGAAGGGAGAGAAAGAAGGAAAAGGAGATGAGAGCTAAAACTGAGGAGAAAACTACAAACCTAACGATAGCTATGTCCCTAATTCACAGTGGACAAAGAAAATAAATTTGATTACAAAGGGGAGAAAACAAGGATTCTTAGAGGGTGGTAGAGGCAGGGAGGGTAGAGAGGTTGGAGGAGGAAAACTCCAGTATGACTTCTTAGACCAAAGTGGCTATCTACTTACTGATAAAGGTCTAAAAAGCATGGCTTTATCAACCAGAATTATGAAGTAAATGATGAAATGAAGAAACATCGAAGCCACACCAGCCAAATTAGATCATCAAGCAATTCAGATAACTGAATATCAGTTACATAACATACAAAATGATTTTAAAAGTATATTTAAAATATATAAGCTTAAAATGGAATGAAAACACAAGGGAATCTGTATCATGAAAAGAGAGGAAACACATTTGAAAAATAAACTATTTGAAAACACATAATGAATGGAGTGAAATTAAAAATTAAATGGACAGCTTTAGCAGCAGATTAGACCTAAATGTAGCCACAATAATGAAACACAATGAATATCTGAAGATAATATTCAACATGAAAAACATAAACAGCTAGAAAAAAATATTACAATAGTATAAGAGAGATGGAGAAATCAATGAGAAAATCCAAATTATAGTGAATAGAAATTTCATTATTTTAGATAACTTCATTGAGATATGATATAATTTACATAAAATGCATTTATTGCAAGTGTACCGCTGAACAGAAAAGCAAATGTAGAAAACGGAATTTTCAAAACAATTCTGGCTGAAAATGTTTCTTAACTGCTGACAGCCAATGAATCCTCAGATCTGGGAGGCACAATAAATTCTGGAAGAAAAATGACAAGAGAAGGAAGGACTAAAATATACGAAGAAAAGCAAATAAATAAATAAAATTGTGGGTAAATCTAAACAGACACTGATATTCTGAAACAATAACAAGTAGAAAAATAAAAGGAATAGAACTAAAATACTAGAAACTAAAACAGTGAAAGATAAAAGCAAGTCAGGAGAGTTAAAGGTTCTTAAGGCCTTGTATATTTCAGGAGTGTAAAATAAACTAATTTTCAGGACTGCTGCCTGGTACATATGTTAAAACTTGAAGCAAAACCACTAAAATAAATATTTAAAGTGTACAACATCAAACAGAAAAATAAGGTAAAAAAAGTTTAATCAATTAAAAGAGGAAAATCTGAAGAACAGAAAACCAGGATAAATTATACATAAGAGAATGCTGAAAATCAATCCATATAGAATAATAATTGTGACATGTAAATAATAAAGAAACTACCAAGGTAGAGCTATGAAAAGGAATCATTTTTTAAAAGACACAATCTAAAGAAGGCAAAATAAAAGGAAAAGGGCTACAAAGAACAGATAGGAAAAATAGAAAGAAATGACAAGATGTTGGATTTAAATCCAAATATATTGATAACTAAATTAAACACAATTGATTGAAACATTCCAATTAAAATGAACCGATTGGCAACTGGATTGAAAAGCAGTCACCAACTATAGTCTATGAACAATAAATGTTTTTCTCTATATTAAAAACAATAAATTGTAAAATAAAATTTAAAAATATGTGTAACAACATTAAATAAGAAATACTTAGAACAAAAATCTTCCCATTCACTGATGAATGGGGCCTAATGTAATCAACCTGTCACCAGGTAGCTGGCTGATCACCATGAAGAATGGTGCCATGTAAAAGGGTTCAGTGTGGGTTTCTGTTGTTGGCAGACTGGGCACTTAATGGTGGCCACAGTCATACAAGGCTTAGTGAATGGGAATCCATATTGCTGAACCCATGCATAATCTCATGCCCGCCACCATGGCCATGTTGTTCATGAGCACATTGGGACATGACTGGTAGCTGAGGAGAAAGGCTGATAGTATCCACAAAAGGGGTCATCCCATCCCCTGCCTTATTAAAATTCTCCTTTGCTGTAGTCACCCATGAACATTCACATGAGACACACATATCTTCACTTTCTGCCCATTCAGAGAGGTCTTTCCACATTCCTCTTCTCCAAATATCTTTGTCACCAAATTTCCAATCATCATCTTCCCTAGTCACTGAATATCCAGCCAAACCACTGGCGACAGCCCAGAATTAATATATAATTTCACATCTGGCCATTATTCGTTCCAATTGCACAGTTTTGATGCATTGCCCAAAGTTTTCCCCACTGAGATTTCCCTTCACAACTGTCCTTCAGGGATGTCCCAGGCAGGAGGCTGTAGTCCAATAGCTGCCCACTTTTGGGTGGTCCTGCATATTGTTGAGAACCATCTGTAAACCAGGCCTGAGCTCTTCTTCTGTCAACTGATCATAGAGAACTCGCCATGAAGCCATAGGTTCAGCCTGGGAGAGAGAAGCAGTGCAGCAGGAATGGGGAACATGGGCATTTGAGCCACTTCTGCACTAATTTACTTGTGCTTCAAGGTCTGCTCAGGCCCAGTCAAGTGAATACCACCTCCATCTGATAACAGTATTGCTGTGCATGATCAACTTTATGGCTTAGTGGGTTAAATAACACCCAGTTCATGATGGGTAGCTCAGGTCACATGGTAACCTGGTGGACCATGGTCAAGCATTCAATATTTCCTAAGGCCCTGTAGAAGCAGCTGTCTCTCCGAAGGAGAGTAATTACTGGCAGATGTCAGGGCCTTCCTCCGAAATTCTAAAGGCCTGTGATATGATTCACATATTAGGGCCTGTCAAGGGCTCCAAGCAGCATCCTTATCAGCCACTGATACTTCAACCACCATCGGATTTGCTGGATCTTATGGCCTACATGGCACATAAGCTTGTACAACAGCCTAGACCTGTCGTAGATCCATTTCTCTTGTTCTGGGCCCATCAAACCTAGCAGCTATCAGGTGACTATGTAAATGTGCCAGAGTAACACACCCAAATGAGGAATATGTTGCCTCTAAAATATAAATAAGCCTCCTAGGCATTGTACCCCTTTTTTGATTGAAGGAGGACCCAGATGCAACAACATACCCTTCACCCTATAAGTGTTATCTCAAGAGGCCTCATACCATTGAACCCCTAGAAATTTCACTGAGGCAGAAGGTCCCCAAATTTTAATCAGATTTATTTCTCACTCTCTGACACATAAAATATCTTATCAATAAGTCTAAAGTAATTGCTACTTCTCACTCAATATCTCCACTTAGCATAATGTCATCATAATGGACCAGCGTGATATCTTGTGAAAGGAAAAGGTGATCAAGATCTCTGACAACCAAATTATGACATAGAGCTGGGGAGTTGATATTCTTCTGAGGCAGGACACTGAGGGTGTATTGCTGGTTTTCTCAGCTGAAAACAAACTGCTTCTGGTGGGCCTTATGGACAGGGATGGAAAAAAGGTATCTGTCAGATCAACAGCTACAGATCAGGCACCAGGAGATGTTGTAATCTGCCCAAGCAATAAAACCACGTTTGGTATAACAGCTGCAACTGGAATCACCACTTGGTTAACCTTAAAATAATCCACAGTCATTCTCCAAGATTTATCCATTTTCTGCACAGGCCAAATAGGAGAGATAAATGCGGATCACCACATCTGCATCTTTTAAGTCCTTGATGATGGCAGTAAACTCTGCAATCCTCCCAAGAATTCAGCATTGCTTTAATTTACTATTTTCCTGTGATATATATACATAATGAATACTATTTGGCCATAAAAAGAATGAAATCCTGTGATTTTCAACAACATCAATAAAACTGGAGACCATTATGTTACGTGAAACAAGCCAGTCACAGAAGACAAATATCATATGTTCTCATTCGTATGTGGGAACGAAAAAGTTGTTCTCAAGGAGGTAGAAAGTAGAATGACAGTTACCAGAAGGTGGGAAGAGGGTTTGGGGGCGGGCAGTGAAGAGAGTTTCATTAATGGATACAAACATAAAGTTAGACAGAAGGAACAAATTCTAACGTTCCATGGCAAAGTAGGGTGACTATAGTTAACAACAATGCATTTTATATTTCAAAAAGGACTTCAAGTATTCCCACACATTAAATTAATAAATGCTCGAGGTGATAGATATTGTAAATGTCCTGACTTGATCATTATGCATTCTATACATTTAACAATATATTACATGTATCCCGTCAATATGTACAAATATTATGCATTAAAGACTTTCTATTTTCCTAGATAATAGCAGCTCTAATGGCTTTCACTTGGCTTTTCTCACCATAATAGCCCTCACTCCACGGGTCACAAAACTTTGCAGGGGTTCTCCCGGCTGCTAAATATGTCTGTTCCAATTATGCAACTGGAACTGGGGAAGTAACCACAGGGTGGGTTTGGGGACCCATGGAACTACCATGAGATGGACCTGAACTAAAACTCTACTGACTACCCGACCTCCACACATCCTTACTCTGACTGGAGGGCCACAGGGACATTTTGAGTCTTGGAATCAATGTCAGTTCAGAGTCAAGTCCATAAGTCCCTGGAAGATCTGATTATTTCCTTTTCCCCAAGACACAGTTACCCTAGTAAAAGGCCATTAAGTCCCATTAGGGAAGGCTGGGAGAAAGATTAACAGTGTAAATTTTTGGTTGTTTACTAGGGTCTTTTCACAAGGGGATCCAGTCACCAATTCAAGGTGGTCTGAGTCTGTAAACTGGTTCAAGCCTAGGAACTGATTGAGGTGACTTGATCTTCTGCTTTTATTTTATGAGTTAGACTTTGTTCATTTGACCTGGAACTTTTCTACCTAAACAAATCAAGTAGCAATTTAGTAGGTGTCTCATCTATTTCACTTCTAGGAACACCATCATTAACTAGACAATGCCATACGTCTGCATATGTCAGACTATGCTGATGGCTGCCTTGACTCTGCTGTCCCTTAGGCTTACTATGCCCACCTTGCCTTTGGTGGTTGAGTTTCTCACTTAGTCTCTGCTAAATTACTATTAACTCTGAATCCAATTACTTCCGTTGCATTTAGGCTTCCAGTTGATTGACTGTGTTTCCCACTGTAAAGTCTGGCCTACAGAGAAGAGCAATTAACTATTGAGTTCTTCAAGGATGCTGGGCTCTGCTCCCACATTTATTTTTCATAGCATTGGTGAAAGATATGTCTTCTGAGCCCTACCAATGTGAGTGAGTAGGTCTTAAATCACAAATTGACTTCAGCATTCCAATCTCCCTAAACCTTTGAATTCCTTTGTCTACATTAACCAAGAGAGATCAGGCATTTCTAATTCACTTACAGTGAGCCAGCCATATTTTGACCCATGTTTCAGCGAATCAATCAAACTGTTAGGCCCCTTCTAACTCCATGAGCTACAATATTAACTGCAGAATGTCTGCTTAGTGAGCCCATATCAGTAAATATGGCCTGATCCACCTTTAACATCTAATACCCCATAGCTCTAACATTCATTCACACACATTTTCCTTAGATTTCTACTTGCATAAATTAGAAAACTTAAGTAGTTATTTTGAAGTATGGCCACCTCCCTCATTGGTCACACTTTGTGCCTCACCTTTAAGGGTCTTCTAGGACTTGAATCCAATTACAGGTCTAGAAGTAAAGGGAGGTATTAGTGTTGTTTCCTGACGAAAATCAGCATTTTCTTGCATGGCAACTGCTTCGGGGGAAGCCATTACCATGTCCTCAGGCAATGTAGGATTAATCACCTCAGAGGGAAGTGGAAAGGCAGATACCACCATTGGAAGGGAGGCCCCACTGTAGGTGGAACACCACTGTCATTAGGGCTGAACAAGCCACTTTTCACTGTGGTTAGAGAAGCCACTTGTGCTGGCAAAGAAGACTCATCAGAATTTAGGGGCTCAATATTTTCAATTTCATCAGTGGCTTGCAAAATGTCCCCATCCCACCTTAAAGGATCCCATTCTTTCTCAATTAAATGTCTTTATTTATTTATTTATTTATTCATTTATTTTTGAGACAGAGTCTCACTCTCCCATCCAGGCTGGAGTACAGTGGTGTGATCTCAGCTCACTGCAACCTCTGCCTCCTGGGTTCAAGCAATTCTCCTGCCTCAGCCTCCCAAGCAGCTGGGACTACAGGCGCACGCCACCACGCCCAGCTAATTTTTGTATTTTTAGTAGAGACAAGGTTTCACCATATTGGCCAGGCTGGTCTCAAACTCCTGACTTCGTGATCCACCCACCTCGGTCTCCCAAAGTGCTAGGATTACAGGCGTGAACCACCACGCCCAGCCTAAATGCCCTTATTTTAACAGTAGATACCTTGTGAAGCTGAGAGTTCAATTTGCTTTGTAATTTGGCCAGTCACAGGATGGGATCCTGCAATTGATATTCGGCCCTGCAGCTATAGGAGATAAGACTCTCCGCTTCAGGGCACACCTGGAACGTCTGAAGCCATTTATGTGATACTTGAGCCGGGAATTCAAATATCTGAGCTAACCCTTTCCTTTTACTATTTTGTCCAGTGACATTAGGAAAAAATAAGAAATATCATTGAATTCCATAAATTTTCAAAAATGTTCAGAAGTATTATACAGAGTCACCAGGCTCCTTGCTTCTTATAAGTGATTAACTACAAGTATCCACAGTACATAATTTTCACATCTCAATAAATACTTCCTGCTACAGACTCTCAGTGCTCTCTTTAATATGAGAATCAGAGTAATTAGTATCTTTAAATCTGGTAAGACTAGAGAGCCAATTCCAGAAACTCCAGAACCAGATGAGATTCAGAGTGATTAGTATCTTTAAATCTAGTAAGACTAGAGAGCCAATTCCAGAAACTCCAGAACTATTTCAGAAAACTTACTCTTAAAATTCTGTTCCTCTAGAACCGCTCTTGTTACCAAAAACAGTATTAGTTGGGGTTCTTCAGAGAAATAGAATAGTGTACATGAGTGCACACCACACACAAATGCACACACACAAACACACACACACAGGTTGAGCATCTCTAATTTGAAAATTTGAAACCTGAAATGGTTCAAAATCCAAAATTTTTTGAGTCCTGGCAAGAAGCTCATCATAGCATTTTTGAACTTTGTATTTTTGAGTTAGGAATGCTGAACTGGTAATTTTAACACAAATATTCCCAAACCTGAAAAAATCCAAAACCCAAAACACTTCTGGTCCCAAGCATTTTGGGTAAGGGATACTCAACCTGCCGCATATACATACATACACAGACACACATTTATATAATAACTCTCCAATTCCTATAATAAGTCTCCATATATATATATATATGCATGTGTGTGTGTCTGTATATATATTTTTATATATGTGTGTGTATATATATATACTATATATATCATATGTATATAATGTGGTGGTGTTATAATTTTTGCTTCAAAAGCTGGTGAGGAGAAAGATAGTCTATTATCCTGTGATTTTTATGTGTCAAGCTGACTGCGCCAAAGAATGCCCAGTTGTAGTCAGTATAATATTATTTGATATGTATAATACAAGGAGTAGATCTCCAAGATTTACTATGGGAATTTGTTCATGCAATTATGAAGGACAAGAAGTCCCACACTTTACCATCTGCAAGCTGGAGAACCAGAAAAGCCAGTGGTGTAAATTCCAGTCCAAGTCCAAAGGTCTGAGAACCAAAAGATGATGGTCTAAGTCCCAATCCAAGTCCTAAGGCCTAAGAATCAGGAGCACTAATGTTTGAGGGAAGGAGAAGATGGATGTTCCAGCTCAAACAGAAACAAATCCTCCCTTCTTCTATTTTGTTCTATTCAAGTTCTCAGTGGAGTGGATGGTGCCCACCCACATTAGTGAGGGTAATCTTTACTCAGTCGAACAATTCAAATGGTAATCACTTCCAGAAACACCCTTCTACACACACCAGAAATAATGGTGTACCAGCTACAACTGGGCACCCTTTAGCCCAGTCAAGTTGACACATAAAAACCACAGGATAATAATCGATCTTTCTTCTCGCCAAATTTTGAAGCAAAAATTATAACCCCACCTGATGTGCTTGATGTACACAGAGGAAATTAGTTGTTTTTTTTAATAGGGAGGGTAGATAGAAGTAAATAGATGTAAGGCTTCTACACTTTATTTTTAAAGTGGTAAAATATCTATACCAGTAGACTGTGATAAGGTATGTATAGATATTATAATTTATAAAGTAAGTACTATGAAAACTGTACAAATAAAAGTAGTCAAAAATGAGGATATAAAAAATACATATTTGAATTTTAATATTCTAATTTTAAGCCTTAGTAATTAATTGCAAAGCTGTCAATAAATAAGAATCAAATATGTTTTGTGATGATTTCTCATTCCCAAGGAAATAGACGTTGATCATTTTTCTTAAATTATTAGACATGTATGTCCCTTTCCCAGGGTCAATTAAATACTCTGAAAGAAAAGAAAATTTAATACTTGATGAATAAAGCACTTGTTTAAAGAATTTTTTGATGACCGCACCAACTTGATTTATATTCCTATTAAGTAGAGATCTGCAATTAAAAGTATCAAATAATATAAGAGAAGGTCCATAACTTCTATTTTAAGGAAAAGCAATGAAAAGCATCTGATGACCTCCAATGCAGGTCTCCCTACCTTGCTACCTGTTCTCCAGTAACTTTGGACTGAAAGCAAAACTTCTTTATACCCATCTCACTACAAAGCATACTGCATTAACCCAGCAAATCTCAGCTTCATTCACCATCTGGAAGCAGTACAGGTAGTATTTGAATGATGCTCAGCATTATAGTATTTTGTATGGAATAAAAGAAAAATAAAAAACCTATAAATTGTTCTTTATATTTTGATGACCCAAGCTGCAATGAGCTGATTCATGCCCCCACCACCACATTCATATGTTGAAGCCCTAACACCCAGTACCTCAGAATGTAATGGTATTTGGAGATATGCAAAAGATATAGGCCTTTAAAGATAGGACCTTTTAAGAGGTAATTAGGGTAAAATGAGGCCATTAAAGTAGGCCCTAATTCAATGACTGGTGTTCTCATAAGAAGAGTTAAGGACACAGACACACATACAAAGAGGAAAGACCATGTGAAGACATGGCCATCTGCATGCCAAATAGACAGGCCCTTGGCAGAAACCAACCCTGCCAACACCCTGATCGTGCTCTTCTAGCATCTAGGACTGTGAGACTATAAATTTATACTGTTTAAGCCTGCTGGTCTATGTTATAGCCTACAGCAGCCCTAGCAAACTAATAAACTAATCTTTCATCTTATTGTGCAGAAATGAAGAACATGAAACTTCTGGGAAGTTCTACAAAATTTTACCATGATAAAATCAGAGACTTCAAAGAACCTCACCTTATGAGTTGTACGGTATTTGCTATGACAGGAACCTAAAATTTTCTCCTGGAGGCTTTTTAATGCTTGGAGACAAAAACTTTAAACAATATAGGGAAGAAATAATTGAACATCTTTTCCTTCTTCTTTGCACTCCCATCAGTTTTTCATTTGTGATACATATAGGTGGGGGAAAAAAACTTAAGAAAACCTGTTCCTCTTTTTTGTATCTGGTAATGCGAGGAACATAAAATTACTGAGAACTTCTGCCTCTGGCCAAGAATGAGTAACAGGGACAGCCACTTGATAAAAACAAAAAACAGACAAAATACATGAAACAATAGTTTACAAGACACACACTGGGCATCTTGCAATGAAGGAGAATAATCCATTCCTAAAGAGCACAAAACAGATGAGGTGAGGTGTCTGAATACTTTACCTTACTACCTTGAAAAAGTTTTAGCTGTGGTAATGATGGGAAACCCGGGAGGACCCCTGACTTGCAAAGATGGAAATTAGAATCTGGGAATGCCAACATGACTATTGTTAGTAGTAAAATGTAAAAGAGAAGAGAGAGCTGCATAGAGTGAGCCCTCAGAACTGTGAGGGTTATCCTCAAGTATTAATATTTATTTTGTATGCATGTATTTTTTTTACATAGGTCTTGCTCTGTCACTCAGGCTGCAATGCAGTGGCGCAACCGAGGCAGCCTCCTAAATAGCTGGGACTACAAGCACACACACTACCACACCTGGCTAATTTTTAATTTTTTGTAGAGACAGTGTATTAGTCTGTTCTCACACTGCTAATAATGACATGCCTGAGACTGGGTAATTTATAAAGGAAAGTGGTTTAACTGACTCACAGTTCCACATGGCTAGGGGGGCCTCACAATCATGGTGGAAGGCAAATGAGGAGCCAAATTACGTCTTACATGGCAGCAGGCAAGAGAGCTTGTGCAGGGGAACTCTCACTTATAAAACCATCAAATCTCATGAGGCTTATTCACTACCATGAGAACAGTATGGGAAATACCGCCCCCATGATCCAATTATCTCCACCTGGCCCTGCCCTTGACATGTGGAGATTATTACAATTCAAGGTGAGATGGGGGTGGGAACACAGCCAAATCATATCAGACAGGGTATCATTATGTTTCCCAGGCTAGTCTTGAACTCCTGGGCTCTAGCGACTCATCTGCCTCAACCTCCCCAAGGTGCTTAGATTACAGTTATTAGCCACCACACCCAGCTCATTCTCATGTATTTAGCTGAGTATTCATCAGCATATGTACAGAATCTTCCCAAGACCTAAAAAGAACTACCCAGAAGGGTAAAGTATCTGAAGATCACACCAGGTCAGAAATGCTACTTCTTAATACCACCAGAATAGAAAAGCTGAACATTCACAGGACTTCTAAAGCATAAAGGTCTTATCTTAGAAGTAAGGAATAATTAGATCTAGCCTAAACACACTGCTCAGATCCTACTTTAGAAGTCATAAAAGCAATACTTGAATGAATCAAGCTGTTTTCCAGATAACTTGTATTCCAGAACAAAGCTCAGGAACATTTATAAGAATATCAAAATTCCCAGCACCCAACAAGGTAAAAATCACAGTATTTGGGATAAAACATTTATTGATAAAATGATTGTTATGTTACCAAAAAATCTAAAACTAAGGGTAGAAGTTACTGTATGTTTTCGTCCATGCAAAAATGCAATGTGTTATTCCAAAGCTAAAACAGAAATTATTCTACAGACACAATTTGCTAATAATTCCCTACTTGTTTTGGAGGAAAAACCCTAAAAGACATACTAGTACTGAAAATGGTATGGGAAATACACAAATATACTGTTAACATAGTATTATCATGAGTTGATTCTTCTGGATTCTAATTTGATTTGAAAATGAAATAAAAATTCCACGTGAAGTAACATCAACAAGACAGCAGACTAGGAAGTTTCATGTCCTTTTTCCCCCATGGAAACCCTGAATAAACAATAATATATGGATTAAAATGGCTTTGTAAGAACTCTAGAAACTAGCTAAGAAGCTGCAGAACCTAACTTTAATGCTTGGCCAAGAAAAAGCTGCAATTAGAAGAGGAGAAAATGTCATTATATTTTGCTCACTCTAGCTCAGACTATCCCACCTCACCTCCAGTGGCACAGCACAGTGCAGTTGAAGTGAGGATGCCCAATTCTTCATTCCTCCCTAGAGAGAGAAGAAAAGGTGTGGAATGTGCTTACAGCATTCTAGCTGGTCTGGGGAACTACTTGAGAGACTAATTTCTGTCTCACTTAACTTGGAGAGCTGATGGAAAGAGTGGCATAGTTTGGATACCAGATTGGAGGCCACTGACAGCAAAGGCAGGTGATGTGGTGTGCTGGAACTGCAGAACAAGTTTGAAGGGACCCAGAACTCATATAATGGAGTAATTGGGGAAGTACTTCTCCTGCACTAAGCCAGTCCACAGAGACAAGGAAAAGTGGCTATTTGTTAAACACTCAAATTTCAACAAATGTTTACAAAGTATATAAAGAAACAGGAAAAAAAATTGCACATTCCACAGATAAAAATAAATCTTCAGAAACCAACCCTAAAAAACACACATCTCTTACTGAACTGACAAATAATTTTTACAAATTTCCCTAAATATGCTTAATTACATAAAAGAGAACATGGATAGATGAACAAAATCAGGAAAGCAGTTTATGAACAAAATTAGAATAATAATAATAACATGAGCATGTCTGCATTGAGGGATGCCTAGATGGCCGGTGAAGCACTTTTCTGGGTGTGTCTGTGAGGGTGTTGCCAGCAGAGACTGACATGTGAGTCAGGGGACCTGGAGAGGAAGACCCATCCTCAAAGTGGGTTGCACTTTGTTCAGCTGCCACCACAGCTAGAACAAAGCAGGTGGAAGAAAGTGGGATAAGTTTGCTTGCTGAGTCCTCTAGCTCTCTTTTTTTTTTCTTCCCATGCCAGATGCTTGCCTCCTTTCCTCCTGCCCTGGGATGTCAAACTCCAGGTTTTTTAGCCTTTGGACTCAGGGACTGGGACCTGCAACAGCAGTCTTCCAGGAACTCTCAGGCCTTTGGCCTCAGACTGAGGGCTACATTGTAGGCCTCCCTGGTTTTGAGTCTTTCATTCTAGGACTGAGCCACTACTGGCTTCTGTCTTTCCCCAGCTTGCAAAGAGCCTTCCACTGGATTTTGCCTTATAATTCTGTGAGCCAATCTTCCCTAATAAACTCCCTATTATAGATACATATATCCTATTGGATCTGTCCCTCTGGAAAACCCTAATACAATCTACAAATAGACAGAAATAATAAAACCAAACAGAAATTCTGGAGGTTACAAGCATAATAACTGAAGTGAAAAATTAATTGCTATAGAGATTCAACAGCAGAATCAATGAGGCAGAAGAAACAATTGGTCAACTTGAAAACAGGTCATTTGAAATTAGCATCTGTGGAGGAAAAAGATTAAAATATGAAGAAATATGAATAGAACCTAAGCGATATGTGAGATACCATATCAAGTTGATCAGCATAAGCATTATGGGAATCCAAGGTGGAGAGAGGGAAAAGGGCAGAGAGTTTATTTAAATAAAAATGGCTGAAAATTTTCCAAATTTATACAGACAGAAATGGCCACAAAAATACATAAAGCTCAGTGAATGCTAAGTAGTAATAATTTAAAGATACGATATAAGCAGAAGTTATCATTAAACTGTCAAAGAAAACAACTGAATCATTTTAAAAAAAAAAAAGGCAAGAGAAACTCTGTAAGATCATTGACTGATTTCTTAGTGAAACCATGGAGGCCAGAAGATAGTAGGATGATATATTTCAAGTGCTAAAAAAATTTTAAATGCTGTCAACTGTAAATTACATATAACAAAACTGTCCTTCAAAGAATGAAAGAGAAATTAGAGTATTTTCAGATAAACAACAACTGAGGAAGTTAATTACCACCAGCAGAGTGTGTCTACTTGGAATGAAAGGTCTCTAGAGAATAAATCAAAGTCTTATAAAAATATAAAGTAATTCTGTAAACAAAAATATATAGAAAAATATAAAACCCTGCATTGTTGTAATTTTGGTTTGTAAGTCAATTTTTAACTCTTAAAAGATTTAAAAACCAAAAGCATAAATTTATATTAATGGACACACAGAATATGAAATTGTAATTTGTGACATCAAAATATGGGAAGGTGCAGAGCTATAAAGGAGTATAGATTTTGCACATGACTGACATTAAGTTGTTATCAGTTTAAAATGGATTGTTATAACTTTAAGATGTTCTATCTAATGCCCCAGGCAATCACAAATACTATATCTATACAATATACACAAAAGGAAATGAGAAGGGAAACAAAGCATGGCACTATGGGAGATCAACTACACAAAAAGGAAGAGAGTAAGGGAGGAAAAGAGGGCAAAAAAGCTCTAAGACGTACAAAAAACCCCAAAATGTCAATAGTAAGTTCTTCCCTAATAGTAATTACATTAAATATAAATGAGTTAAACTTCATAACTATATATGTGTGTGTGTGTGTGTGTGTGTGTGTGTGTGTGTGTGTGTGTGTTTTGCCTACATTAATATCAGGTTCTAACGATATGCTTTCTATAAGAAATTCACTTTAGATTTAAAAATACATACAGGTTGAAGTGAGAGGATGGAAAAAGATATTCCTTGGAAAATAGTATTCAAAAAAGAGCATACTAATATCAGAAAAAAACAGACAAGTCAAAAAATGGTTACAGGAGACATAGCATTATATAATGATGAAAGGGCCAATTCAACAACAAGCTATAATAATCATAAATATATATACACCAAACGTGAGAACGCCTAAAGATATGGAGCAAATATGGACAGAATTGAAGAGAGAAATACACAACAAAAATACCCCACTTTTAGTAATGGACAGAACAACCATAAAGATTAGTATGTAAATAGAGAACCTGAACAATACCATAGATCAACAGGACCTAAAAGATGCACAGAACACTCCACCCAATATGACAAAATACTTTTTCCTAAAGTGCACATGGAACATTCTCCAGGGTAGACCATACGTAAAGCCACAAAACAAATATTTATAATGTAAAAGGTTGAAATAATACAAAGAATCTTTTCCAATCAATTTTCCGTTTCTAATTTAATATGATTAAATTAAATACTGGAAAATCCACATCTATTGATTAAACAAGATATCCCTAAACACAAAAGGGTCAGAGAAGAAAGCACAAGGGAAATTTATGGGATTCAGTTAAAGCAGTGTTTAGAAGGAAACTTATAGCTATAAATGCTTACACAAGGAATAAACATTTCAAATCAACCTACCTTTACAACCTAGAGAATTAGAAAAAGAACAATTTACACCTATATATAGCAACAGGAAAATAATTTAAAAGATTACAGCAGAGATAAACAAAATAGAGGATAGAAAAATTCAGAAAACTAACCAAAACAAGAATTGCTTCTTTGAAAAGATCAACAAAACTGATAAACGTTTAGCTAGATTACCTAAGAAAAAGGGAGAAGAAAACTAAAATCAGAACTGAAAGTGAAGAAGTACAACCCATTTTACAGAAAGTAAAAAAATAAGAGAATATTATAAACAATTGCACTATGGTCTGAATGTGTCCCCCAAAAATTCATATGTTGAAACTTAAATGCCAAGGTAGGGCCTTTGGGAGGTGATCAAGTCATGAGAGCAGGATCCTCATGAATGGGATTAGTGCCCTAATAAAGGAGGCTGAAGGGAGCTGTTGTTCCTTCTACTATGTGAGAACCAACCAAGAGAAGGCACTATCTCTATGAAACAGACAGTGAGCCCTCACAAGATACCAAATCTGCTGAAACCTTGAGCTTGGCATTTCTAGCCTCCAGAACTGTGAGAAATAAATTTCTATTATTTATAAATTACCCTTTCTAAGGTATTTTTATAGCATTCCAAATGGACTGAAAGAAAAAGTATGTCAACAAATTGGATAACCTAGATAAAATGGACAAAGTCCTAGAAACATACAACCTACAAAGCCTGCATCATGAAGAAACAGAAAGCCTGAGTAGACCTGTAACTAGTAAGGAAATTGAATCAGTAACAAAAAACTTTCCAACAAAGAAAAGCCCAGAACCAGATGGCTTTATCGGTAACAATGTCACTGATCATTTAGAGAAGAATTAAAATCAATCTTCCTAAAGTCTCAAAAACTGTAGAAGACAGAAGCCTCTAGACTCATTCTATGAGGCCAATACTGCCCTAATCCAAGGCAAGACAAAGACTACATGAAAAGAAAACCATGAATGAATATCCCTGAGGAATACTGAGATAGAAAACTCTCAACAAAGCAGAATCCAACAGCACATTAAAAGAATGATTGTACACCATGACCAAGAATGATTATTGCTGAAATGTTAAGATGTTTCAACATACAAAAATCAATCAGTGTAATACATCACAAGAGAATGAAGGAAAAAATATATATTTTTCAACCGATGTAGAAAAGGTATTTTTTAAAAATTAATGCACTTTCATAATAAAACACTAAAAAAACTTCAGAATAAAAGAAAACTACTTTAACATAATAAAGGCCATATAACAAAAGTCCACCACTAACATCATACTCAATATTGAAAGACTGAAAGCTTTCCCACTAAGATTACAAATAAGACGAAGATGCCTGATTTTGCCTCTTATTTTCAAAACAGCACCAGTACTCCTAGGAACAGCAATTAGGCAAGAAAATGAAATAAAATAAATCCAAACTATATAGGAAAAAATAAAATTATCTCTGTTTACAGATGACATGATCTTACATACAGAAAACTTGTAAGATTCCACACCAAAAAACATAACAACACTGCAATAAATGATTTCTGCAAACTTGCAGGACAGTAAATCAACATGCAAATATCAGTTGTTTTCCTATACATTAAAAACAAACTATACCAAAAGGAAATTAAGAAAACAATTCCACTTACAATAGCATCAAAAAAGAATAAAACACTTAGTTAAAAAATTTAACCAAGGATATGAAAAACTTGTATGCTGAAAATTAGAAAATGTTGCTGAAAAATACTTAAAATGATACAAATAAAGGAAAAGACATCACATTTTCATGCATTAACACATTTAAGATGTTAATACAACCCAAAGCTATTTATAGATTTAATACAATCCCTATCAAAATGCCAATGCCATTTTTTTTGCAGAAATAGAAAAACCCATCCTCAAATTCATATGAAATCTCATGAGACCCTTACTTGCCCAACAATCTTGAAAACGAACAGAAAAACTGAAAGGCTCACACCCTGATTTCAAAACTTACTACAAAGTTACAGTAATCAAAACAGTATGGTACTGGCATAAAGACAGACAAACAGACCAATGGAACAGAATACAGAAACCAGAAATAAGTCCTCGTATACATGGTCAAAATGATTTCTAAAAAGCATCTACAAACAATATGGTGAAAAGATGAATGCCTTCCCCATCGCTGGAGAACAAGGAAAAGATGTCCACCCTCACCACTTTTATTAAGCACAGTACTGGATGTTTTAGCCACTGCAATAAGCAAAAGAGTAAATAAAGACACATACTGGGCCAGGCACAGTGCTCATTTTGCAATAAGCAAAAGAGTAAATGAAGACACATACTGGGCCAGGTACTAGTGGCTCATGCCTGTAATCTCAGTACTTTGGGAGGCCAAGCTGTGTGGATCACCTGAGGTCAGGAGTTCAAGACCAGCCTGGCCATCATGGTGAAACCAAGTCATTACTAAAAATACAAAAAAGATCAGCCAGGTGCGGTGGCACGTGTCTGTAATCCCAGCTGCTTGGGAGGCTGAGGCAGGATTATCACTTGAACCTGCTAGGTGGAGGTTGCAGTGAGCCAAGATTGTAACACTGCACTCCAGCCTGGGTGACAGAAAGACTCTGTCTCAAAAAAAAAAAAAAAAGCACATACTGATTGGGTATGTTTTGTAAATTCTTAAAACTTAATTCTTCCCTGATATTTCAACGTCCTCTCAAACAGACTGTGAGCACCCCACCCAGATGGCCAGGTCCAGCAGTGAACCTGCCACAAGTTCACCTTCTTGCTGACCCTGATTAAGGCATTTGCCCAATGGTTCTCTATTCTGTCTCTCATTCTGCACCCCACTTACCCCAGCAGGCTCCCCACTTGCTTGGTTGCACTTACTCTCTGAAAGCTCCTACCACAAGGCCTCCTGCTTGCCATGCCATGCCCCTATCTCTAGGGCTGGTGGGTATTAAAAATCCTTTAATTTCGTATATCTCTCTGAATATAATTTCTGTGGTCATGTTAGAACCATCCCTAAACATCTCACGAGTGAGACTTACTCCCTATTTATAAAACACAGAGGAAACAATGAAACTATCTCAGTTTACAGCTGACGTAATTGTGATAGAAAATCCCAAAGAATGCAAAACAAAACAAAACAAAATGAAAAAAGTCTAGAATAATTTAATATATCAAGTTTACAAGAAACTATATCAACACATAAAAATAAATTGCATTTGAACACACTAATAATGAACATTTGAAAACCAAAATTAAAACATAACGTTCTTCAAAATAACTCCAAAGAAGAGGAAATAATTACATACAAACTTATTAAAACACATAAAAGATCTGTATACTGAAAATTACAAAATACTGATAGAGGAAATAGCAGGCCTAAGAAGATGTAGAGACATATCATGTTCATGGACTGGAAGAATCAATATAGTAAAAATGTAAGTTTTCCCCAGAATTATATATAGGTTTAACACAATCCCTATCAAAATCCCAAAATGATTTTTGTACACATCTACAAGCTTATTCAAAATGTATATAGAAAGGTATGACCCTAAAGTAGCTAAAACAATCTTAACAAGAATACAGTGGGATGAATAACGCTACCATTAGTAAGTCTTACTAGATAGCTACAGTAGTCAAGACCATGTGATATTAGAAGACACAGAACAATGAAACAGAATAAAGAACCCAAAAATAGTCCCACACAAATATGTTCAACTGTATTTTAATGAAGATACAAAAGCTACTTAATGGAGAAAAGATGGCATTTGAACAAATGATTTTGGAACAATTGGACATCCATAGGCAAAAAAAAAAAGTAAAATAATCTTTAGCTTAAATCTCATGCCTTATAGAAAATTACTAAAACGTTATCACATCTTTGACGGGAAATGTAAGACATAAAATCCAATGTACACAAATCAGTTGCACTGCTGTACGCCACCAACGACCAAACTGAGAATCAAATCACGGACTCAACTCCTTTTATAACAACTGCAAAAATAGTGAAATGCTTAGGAATATACCTAATAAAGGAAGTAAAAGATCTCTACAGGAAAAACTATAAAACACTGCTGAAAGAAATCATAGATGACACTAACAACTGGAAACACATCCACGCTCATGGATGAGTAGAATCAATATTGTCAAAATGACCATCTTACCAAGGACAACCTATAAATTCAATGCAATTCCCATCAAAATACCATCATCATTCTTCAGAGAACTAGAAAAAATAATCCTAAAATTTATATGGAACCAATATAAAGGCCCCACATAGCCAAAGCAAGACCAAGCAAAAAAAAAAAAAAAAAAAACAAATCTGGAGTCATCACATTACCCGACTTCAAACTATACTATGAACTACAGTTGCCAAAACAGCATAGTACTGTATAAAAACAGGCATGCAGACCAATGGAACAGAATACAGAACCCAGAAATAAAGCCAAATACTTACAGTCAACTGATCATCAACAAGGTAAACCAAAACATAAAGTGAGGAAAGGACACCCTATTCAACAAATGGTGCTGGGATAATTGGCAACCCACATGTAGGAGAATGAAACTGGATCCTCATCTCTCACCTTATACAAAAATCAACTCAATATGGATCAAAAACTTACATCTAAGACCTGAAACGATAAAAATTCTACAAGATAACACTGGAAAACTCTTCTAGACACTGGCTTAGGCAAAGAGTTCATGACGATGAATGCAAAAGCAAATGCAACAAAAACAAAGATAAACAGATGGGACTTAATTAAACTAAAAAGCTTCTGCACAACAAAGGAAATAATCAGTAAAGTGAACAGACAACCATGTTGCCCACAAAGTCTAAAATATTTACTATGTGGTCCTTCACAAGGAAAATTTGCCAACCCATGACAGAGATGATCTGAACAACACCACCATCCACTTTTAGTTAATTATAAAACATTACACCCAACATCTACAGAGTATTTTAATATGTACATAATATATTCCGCAAGGCTAAATAGCATGTTGAATAAATTCAGAAGGACTTAAAATATACACAGTGTGTCTTTAACCAAAACAGAATTAAACTAGAAATTGATAATAAGATATTAGGAAAATTCCCAAAATCTGGAAATTAAGCAACCCACTACTAAATAACTCAAGAATCAAAAAGAAAGAAGGGGCCAGGTGTGGTGGCTCATGACTGTAATCCCAGCACTTTGGAAAGCCAAGGCGGGCGGATCACAAGGTCAGCAGTTTGAGACCAGCCTGACCAACGTGGTAAAACCCCGTCTCTACTAAAAATACAAAAATTGGCCGGGCATGGTGGTGAATCAGAAGGCTGATGCAGGACAATTGCTTGAACCTGGGAGGCAGAAGTTGCAGTGAGCCAAGACTGCACCACTGCACTCCAGCCTAGGCGACAGAGTGAGACCCCGTCTCAAAAAAGAAAAAAAAAAAAAGAAGGAAATTAGAAAAAAAACTGAAAATGAGAGAGAACACATACCACTCAACATATCAGAAAAGAGAGATAATCACTACAAATCTTACAAATATCAGAAAGATAATATTAGAAGCAATTTCATGCCAGAAAAATTTGACAATTTTGATCCAATATATGAGATTTTTGAGACACGCAACTCACTAAAAGTGAACAAAATGAACAGGAAAATCCAAATATCCCTACATGTACTTCAGATATAATTACTTATTGAAAACCTACCCACAAAGAATACTACAGGACCCAGTGCTTCAACTAGTGCATTCTATCAAACATCTTAAGGAAAGTAAACTAATAACTAAAAACATTTTCAGAAAATATAAGAGAAGGAAACAGTTACAAGTCATTTTGCAAGGCCACTATAGTCCAAATATCAAAACCTGACCAAGACATTACAAAAAATAACATGATATATAACTTATATATATAGATCCTTAATAAAACATTAACAAATATAATGCAGATATAAGTTGTTTTCAACAAGATCAGAAAAAATATTTGAAAAATGTAACACCCATTTGTAATGTAATCTCCCAGTAAATTGGGAATAGAAGAGAACTTCCTCATTCTGATAAAAGGTATCTATGAAAACCTAGAGTTTGCATCATACTAGATGGTACTTCCCCCTTTAGGATCAGGAGAAAGAAAAGGACACCCATTCTTGCCACATCTATTCAATGTTGTACTGTAGATTACAGGTATTCAGAGAAAACAGAATACATAAATAAAATGTACAAAAATAAAAATAATGAAGTAACACTGTCTCTATTTGCAGATGACATGATAGATTACATAGAAAATCCTCAGTAATCTGTAAAAAAACTCTATAATTAACAAGTTAATTTAGCAAGGTGGCATGATACAAGGATAATATGAAAATATCTGCTGAAAATTGAAACAACTAGCAGGTGAATTTTTTAATATTCCATTTAAAATAGCATCCAAATCCCCCACAAAAAACTTAGGAATAAATTTAACCCAAATGAATATAAGACCTTTACACTAAAAAATGCAAAAAGAAGATAATTTTTTTCAAATTGATATATTTAATTCTGCAGAGATAAAATTATTACATAGAAGACTGTTCCAACCCAAGCCCTATTATTTTATAATATAGTTATTTAAATTATTTTACAGTATAGTTGTTATAATGTCACTTGATGTATGAAGTTGAAAAAGAGAAATATAAAAACCTGCATAATGTAACAGTGATTGAAGAAAGGCATCACATTTCTCTGACTGTAAAGAATAGAGTAATTTCCATGGGAGAGCTCATGAAGGAGACCACCATGTAATGAAGTTCTTTTGGCATGTACAGAAGTTCAACATTACACAAATATAAATATATTGCAAATAAAATTTCTGTCTAAAGCCATCAGTAGCAAATGTCTTCTTATATTTATTATTATACTATTTCCAATTCTAGGTAATAATAGTCTATTTTGAAAAACATAAGACAATGGCATTTCTCCTTTCAAAGACTAATTTTTATTAATAATATTGTAAAGAGATGAAAAAATAATGGATTACGAATTTTCCAATATAAACTTTACCCAATTAAAATCTTTTTTTAATATTAGGGAATATTAGTCATCTTTCTTAAGAGTGATATGTCAGAGATGACCCCGATATGAAAGACTCAATAGATTACTTTCTGGGTTGTAATCAAGCTCCACTTGGTCTGATTTTCAACTGAAAACTTGAGTCAAGTAATTACACAATTATTTGAATATAATGACACTATGATAGCTTGACTTGCAAACATACTTAAAATAAATGGATGAATGAGTAAATACCATCTGCTATATATGGCAGTGGCATTGTTTTTCTTCTTCAACTTCTAGAAAAATATTAATCAATTATATATTATCCTATCATCCTTTATCTATTTCTGTTACAGTAACTACTACATTGCATACATAAGGTAACCTGTCTATATGTTGATTCTCCTACTTTCCCATGAACTTCTCTGAAGGAGGAGACAATATATTATTCATCTCCAAATAATCATATATATTAATTTTTTAAAACCTAGAGAGAGAAATGTAGCATTTTCATGTACTGGAAGATTGAATACTATTAAAATGGCACTTCTCACCAAATTGATCATTTCAAGGAAACTCCAATCCTAACCCAAGCAGTCCTTTTTGAGAAAATTGACATACAGGCTGATTCTAAATTTTCTTGGAAAGGAAAGGAACCTAGAACATCCAGAACAACCTTGACAAAAAATCGAAGTTAAAAACACTACTGACAAAAGATAATGAAGAAAGTATGGCACTAGCATAAGGACTGACAAAACAGAGAAGAGTGGAACGAAAATGGTACACTTAAGAAATATATTTATTTATCATTTTTTATTTATTCTTTCTTTTTCTTTTTTTTTTTTTTTTGAGACGAAGTTTCACTCTTGTTGCCCAGACTGGAGTGCAGTGGTGTGATCTTGGCTCACTGCAACCTTCACCTCCCGGGTTCAAGTGATTCTCCTGCCTCAGCCTCCTGAGTAGCTGGGATTACAGGCACCTACCACCACGCCCGGCTATTTTTTTTATTTTTAGTAGAGATGGGGTTTCTCCATGTTGGGCAGGCTGGTCTCGAACTCCTGACCTCAAGTAATCCACTCGCCTCAGCCTCCCAAAGTGCTGATATTACAGGCTTGAGCCACCACTCCCAGCCTAATACAACATATTTAAAACAAATCTTCAAAAGCTAGATACAACATCACTGGGACAAGTATGCCAAAGTAAATTTGGCCTTACTGTAGTCTGGAGACAATTTCAGTTACTTAAATCTTCCTAAAATCAAAAGATTGTATTTAATAATATATAAGATGCTAACACAAGATGAAAAGGTACTAAAGTTGAAAGGCAAATGAGACCAACAATGAGACAAATACATCAAATAATTTTTCAGATTTTTAAATGAAGGTGCTTTTGTGAAAATACCATTGCCTGCAAATTCTGAATTCTTTTTACATATGCCAATATACTGTTCTTATACTATCATCAAGACAGAAAAGTCCCAGCTGTTCTTTATTTTGCTGTAGCAAACCAAATAAGAAACTTCTGTGCTGAAGAAGAAAGAAAGATAAACATATTGCATTAAAAAAAAAAGTTTCCATGGGACAGGAAAAGTCAGACAGCAGATATTTGGGGGAGGAAAAGGAACAAATTAACTTAATGAAACTACAGACCTCTTGTACTCAAAGCTTCATTGTTTGGAAGCTTTAAAAATTATTTTGTGTTTCTATATAAAGCATAGTGATAAAATTGCCTTTCAGTAGAAAAGATTGAAATTTCATCCCTTCATTTCACCATATATAAAAATCAACTCACGATGGATTAAAGATTTAAACTATTAAAAACCCTAGCAGAAAGCTTAGGACATACCACTCTGAACATAGGCCTTGGCAAAGATTTCATGATGAAGTCTCCAAATGCAATTGCAACAAAACCAAAAATAGACAAATGGGACCTAATTAAACTAAAGAGCTTCTGCACAGCAAAAGAAACTATCAACACAGTAAACAGAAAACCTACAGAATGGGAGAAAATTTTTGCAAACTATGTATCCAACAAAGGTCTAATATCCAGAATCTATGAAGTACTTAACAAGCAAAATACAAACAACCCCATTAACAAAAGGGCAAAGGACATGAACAGACACTTCTCAAAAGAAGACATATAGGGAGCCAGCAAGCATATGAAAAAGCATATGAAAAAATGCTCCACATCACTAATCATGAGAGAAAAACAAATCAAAACCGCAATGAGATAGCATCTCATACCAGTAAGAATGGCTATTATTAAAAAGTCAGAAAATAACTGATGTTGGTAAGGTTATAGAGAAAAGAGAACACTTCTATACTGCTGGTGGGAATGTAAATTAGTTTAGCCACTGTGGGAAGCAGTTCGGAAATTTCACAAAGAAATTAAAACAGAACTACAATTTGACCCAACAATCCCATTACTGGGCACATACCCAAAGGAATATAAATCATTCTGCTATAAAGACACATGGATGTATATGTTCACTGCCACTATTTACAATAGCAAAGACATGGAATCAACCTAGATGCCCACCAATGGTAGACAGGATAAAGAAAATGTGGTACCTATACACCATGGAATACTATGCAGCCATAAAAAAGAACTAAATTATGTCCTTTGCAGCAACATGAATGCAGCTGGAGGCCATTATCCTCAACAAATTAATGCAGAAACAGAAAGCCAAATACCACATGTTGTCACTTATAAGTGGGAGCTAAACATTGAGCACACATGGACACAGAGAGGAACAACAGACACCAGAGCTTACTTGAGGGTGGAAGGTGAGGGTTGAAAAACAACCTATCAGGTACTATGCTCACTATCTGGGTGGCAAAATTATTTGTACACCAAACCCCAACGATGTGGAATTTACCCATGTAACAAACCTGCACATGTACCCCCTGAATGTAAAAGAAAAAAGAATAAATAAAAATGACATAAGAAAGCTCAAACAATTATCACCTTGAGCCCACCATCAGGGAAAATAATAAAATGGGTCAGATTCCTTCCCCTACTCCTAATCCCTATGCTTTAACACACATTCCAACCCCATTTCCAAATAAATTATCCTAGCTCAGGGTCTGTGACTGTTTAAGACTGGTAGAGGGTAAAAGATGTTTTAGGTAATAACTGACTAATGTTTATCACAGTACTCACATATTAAAAACTGAGAGAAGAAAATTAAGATTAAGTGCTCTCTTCATGGTGCCTCAAATCCTAAATCTTATTTCAAGAGTTAAAAAGAAGAAAACCTATCCCAAGGAAGAGAGGTAATGCTTAAGAAAATTTTTTAAATGAAGATATGAGATAATATGTGAATTAATGACTTAGACCAGCAGTTCCCAGCCTTTTTGGCAGCAGGGACTGGTTTCATGAAAGACAATTTTTCCACAGACTGGGAGGGTGGGGGATGGTTCGAGGGTGACTCAAGGGCATTACATTTATTGTGCACTTTATTTATATTATTATTACATTGTAATAAATCATGAAATAATTATACAACTCACCATAATGTAAAATCAGTGAAAGCTCTGAGCTTGTCTTCCTGCAACTAGAAGGTCCCATCTGGGGTTGACAGGAGACAGTGACAGATCATCAGGCATTAGATTCTCATAAGGAATACACAATCTAGATCCCTCACATGCACAGTTCACAATAGCATTTGCACTCCCATAAGAATCTAATGCTGCGCTTGATCTGATCTGACAGGAGAAGGCAGATCTCAGGTGGTAATACAAGCGATGGGGATGGGGGACTATAAACACAGTGAAGCTTCACTCTAGCCTGCCACTCACCTCCTGCTGTATGGCCTGGTTCCTAACAGGCCATGGATTGGTACCAGTCTGTGGCCAAGGAGTTGGGGATGCCTGACTTAAACTATATTTCAGGAGGCTTACTGAGTACAAATTAAGAAAGAATCCCCTTGTCAATTTCACTAGGCAAAAATAATGGATATTGATCTCTGTATACAATACTTATACCTTTAGTAGAAACACTTTACAACCATTATAATGTAAATAATTATATATGTCAAACATTTAAAAATATTACTGTTTACAATGTGTTTATGGTCAGTAAATTATAATTAGGCATAGGAAGATATTGTCATAAATTCATTGAACATGAACAATATGTTAAGTATAATGTAAAAAACAACTAATTTAAATTCCTTCTAGAAGATATAGCATCATTTTCACCCTAAGCATAGGTACAGGATGCCGGGTATGGAGCAAAGCAATATGAAAATAGATTAAAAGATGGTTCAAATTTGCTTGTTATTTATGATGGACAATGGTAACATGGACAATATTCTATCTGAATAATAACTATAAATTAATTAGCAATAGCAAATAAGGCAAAACAAATAGAAAAACCATTCTTCTTCATATAACCAATTACAAAAGGCTAAATTTGAAAGTATTTTATAAAGATACATTCTATTAATGTCTTATCTTTTATTAGTGGGTAAAGTTTTATTTTTATTGTTGAAATCCTTAACTGTGGGGATTCAACGTATTTTATAAATAGCTAGGATGCTTACTTACACATGGGGCATGTTCATTTAACTTTTTTTTTCCTTTTACCAGCCTCACATAACATACCTTAAAAAGTCTTTTGTAAGGTTCACAGTTATGGTCTGTACATCGCTTGGGTCCTTTTTCAGTGTCTAGAGATGAAACTGAGAAAATATATTATATTTTATCATGGGTATAATGTATTCTGTCACAATATTTAAATTGGATTTTGAAAAATGAAAGGATATTCTAACATTTCTCTTCCATTAAAATATTAAGCAATTTTCCTAGTGCTAAATGACTCTTCAGCAAAAAACCTAAGTCAACAATTTGCTTTCTATAAATCAAGACAACCTTATTTCTTCAGTGAACTTAAGAATTAATCAACTTTCCTGATAATGTTTGGCTGTTGATTTTGTAAAATCTGAGCAACAGATTTGTTTCAATTTTAATAACATACATATGTATATGTATGTATACATTTATGTGCATTCATTCAATACTGTATTTAACTCTATATAATATACTGTGTGTCATTTAACTCAATTCTTAATCTCTAGCTGCAAAATGATAGAGGTAGGACAAACTCTGATCACAATACTGGAAAGGGAAATGAGGTTGGATTTTAGTAGGGGCCATGGTAACTAAAATGATGAATATTTACATTCAGACATACATTCATTTATTTAATAAATAATTGCCAGGAGCCTACTGTGTGCCAGGAATTACTCTAGGTGCTTGGGATACATAAGTGAACAAAATCAACAAAATCCCATTGAATTTAGCAATGTAGAAATGAGTACTGTCTCTGCAAGATCATCTGAGAAATGTTCCTATTGTACTACAAGACTTAAAAAATACATGGAAAGAAATCTGATTTCTAGCCTGAGTTCTATAGGAGGTCTACTAATAAACACAGGTATAATGTAAAATAACATTTGAGGCCTCTACTCCAATTTGTAAAACAAGGGGCTGAATAATGTGATTTTTGTCACCCTTTCCAGTTATGAGGATATATTTAAAAACAAATACTTTACCCCAGCAATGAAAATCTCTATAATTTATCTACCAATCTTGACAATTTTGTTTTTCCCATAACTCTACTTGGATGCTATCCATTCGCTATTCTACTCCAAATATTGCTCTATGATGCCTGTGTACATGACTTTAAGTTGTTCATTTTCCATAAAATTCTTCCAAAACACCAATAATTTTTCATGGGCCTCCTTAAGTGTTCATCTCCTTAATAACATCTTCACTTCCTTAGAACCCATAAAACACTTGGTAACTCTTCTACAGTATTTACATAAGTTGTACTATTATTATATGAATATTTTCTTTTTACTATAATATAATCTTGAAGAGGGATCCTTACTCTCCTTTACCAACATTTACCTAGTATGTCATGTAAAATATGTCTGATGGACAACTGTTGATATGAAGATCATAAAATTGATCATAAAAGTATGAATATATGCAGAGTATATTCCCAGAATAATGGGAAATCTTTATTTTGTTGTTTAAACATATTTCTTTCATACCTTCCCAAACCCATACATGGTGTGAAACTTCACTCTTGCCATCTGAGTTGATATTATGAGGTACTATACAATATTATAGACAAGACAACAAAATCCAACCTAGTGATTTTATAAAATTAGATCAGTTAATTTCAGACAGAGGTCCAACTAGGGTCACAGACTTGGGGGAGAAAAGGTTTTATTTATATTCTATTTTTACCTTAAGTCCTTTTAAAAAATGAGATTATCTAAATCTAGGCCCAAGAAAAGTTAAATCTCTAAATTTTATCGCTTGAACCTGGAAGGTGGAGGTTGCAGTAAGCTGAGATCACGCCACTGCACTCCAGCCTCGGCAACAGAGTGAGACTCTGTCTCAAAAAAAAAAAAAAGAAAGAAAAGAAATATACGTAGAGTTATGAAAAGCACTAGCAAACTGTAGCCAGGTCTTTTAAGTATTAATAACCTAAGGTACAGCTTTTGAATGGACTGTCCACAAAGTAATTCAGAAGGTGGCAGACCTGAGTCTACCAATGCATCATAAAATGATTATGAGATTGAATCATCACGATAATGTAAAATTTTCTTACTTTTGAATCTTTATACAAGTTTAAGGCAATTTTTAACATTCATTAAGATCTACTATTCATGAAACTAATGCAAAACTGTCAGAAACCACAAAATAGAATCAAAAGAAATATAAGGTCTTTTCTTATCTATCTTTTCAGAATCAGTATACACAAAAGATTGCTAAAGTAACAAATATCTAGGAGACTGTTTCAGCCCAAGTCCAGTATTAATGGTGTCAACAGGCAACAGACATTATATCCATCCCCACCATATCAGGCAAACCACATGACACTCATGTTTTCTGCATCAGCTATCTCCTCCTAAGCTTCTCGCACATCCCCTCTTTATTTAGGCTAGTTGACTAACCTCATCCTGTATACAATCACCTAGCTTTTTGTAAGATAAGTTTTCTACAAGATTAAAAAATAAAGAAGATAGGAATGATGCCAGCAAAAATAGTAAAGAAGAAAACTGCTGGCCACCTTTTTCCATAGAAACATGGAAAAAAATGAAGAAAAATGGTCAGAATCAACTTTTGTCAGAACTCCAGAAAATGATCAAATGTTTACAACAACCAAGTGAATGCTAAATCAACAAAAGATAACTTCAACACAGAATATAAGAAAATCTCTGTCAAGTCAGTAGCTAACCACAAAGGTCAAAGAGAATTCAAAGGTTAAATATGTGTATGTAACAAAAGTTCAGGTAAATGGAAGACAGACCTCAGAGGACATGACAAAAGATGCAGAAAATTATGAAACAAACAACTACAACTCATACAAGCAAGAAACATACACACTGAAGAGGCAGAAGGATCTGATTTCAAAAGTATCCATTACAATATTTTAAAATGCAAAGTTTTCAAAAAAAATAGTAGTTATATAAAGAAACAAGAATGTATGGCCCATTCACAGAGAACAAAATATAATAGAAACTGTCCCTGAGGAAACACAGACATTGGACTTGCTGTATAAAAACTCTAAATCAGCTATCTTAAATATGCTCAAAGAACTAAAGAAAACCATGAACAAAGAACTAAATAGGGAAAATGATGCCTTCACAAATAGAGATTATCAATAAAGCAAAATAAGTTACAGGACAAAATCTAATAAAAATTATGGAGCAGAAAATTGTTAACAACTGAAATGAGGAATTCACTAAACATTTTCAACAACAGATTTGAGCAAGCAAAAGAAAGAATTAGTGAACTTGAAGACAGTTCACTGAAATTATCCAGTCAGAGAAGAAAAAAAAAATTTTAAGTGAAGAGAACCTAAGACATCTGTGTAACAACATCAAGTGTACCACCATATACATGATGGGAGACACAGAAGGAGAGAAAAATGAGAAAGTGGCAAAAAGAGTATTTGAAGAAATAATGGCCAAAATTTCCCAAATTTGATAAAACACATACAAGATAAATAGAATCCACATAGGGTAAATACAAGGAATCCCACACTGAGACAAATTATAATGAAATTTTCAAAAATCAAAGACAGAAGCTTCTAGGTTGCTGAACATGCAGAGATACTGGGTGGTGGTGTGCCCAAAGTGGGCATGTAAGCTCCAGGCCCCTTCCCACATGCCTTGCCCTGTGCATCTTTTCCATCTGGCAGTACATCTGTATCTTCTGTAATATCATTTATAATAAATGGGCAACCATTTTTTAAAAAATCAAAGACAGAGAGTCTTAAAAGCAGCAAGAAAGAAGTAATTTGTCACATACTAGGTGTCCACAATAAGACGAACATCAGATTTTTCATGAAAAACCACAGAGGATAGAAGGCAGTGGGATGATATATTTAAAGAACTGAAATAAAAACACTTCAACCAAGAATCCTGTATCTGGCAAAACAAGCTGTCAAAAATGAAGGAGAATCTACGATCTTCCAAAAATCAACAGCTGATGAAGAATAGATAGTAACTTGTTACTACAAACAAAAAAAGAATACTGGCAAAAGTAACTACACAGGAGTACATCTAGGTAAATATAAAACGTAAATATAGATAAATATAACAGTCAGTATTCTTTTTTCACTCATCTTTTTTATATGATAATAATGACAAATGAATAAAACAATAATTACAATCTATGTTAGTGGATACACAATATATAGTAATGTAATTAGGGACAATAGCATAGAGAAGGAGTGACCTTCACAGGAGCAGAGTTTTGGAATACTATTATAACTAAGCTGGAATCAATTCAAACTAGTTTCTTACAAGTTTGAAATTCTAATTATAGTTCTCAGGTTAGCCACCAAGAAAACAACTAAAATATATTAATAAAATGAAATGAGAAGGAAATTTAAACGGTATTCTATAAATAATGAAACACAAAAGAAGGTAGTAACAGGGACAATCAAACAAAAAAGATATGAGACATCTTCTGGTTTCTATTTGACATCTACGGAACTTGTCAGTTGTCAGGCCTGTATCAACAACAAAAAAATCCGCAACTTTTCTTAGACCCATCAGAAAATTGAGGTCACTGGGAAAACTGCAGCTTCCAAAAATGTAGAGGCAGATAGGTGTATACAGAGAATCACAACTTACCAGGAGCAGAAGCCTGCTACTGGAGCCATTACCAGGATAATTTAAATTATAATTGAGGGACTGCTAAGAAGTTCAGAGTGGACAAGCTCCACAGTTAAAACTGCAATGAGGAGTATTCTTGGGCAGTAGGGGAGGGCTTCCAAACTTCCCTGAGCTTTATGTCTAGGAAACCCCACAAGTTCTCAGGGTTAAGACTGGAGGAAAATCTTGTGCTTCTAGCAAATGGAAGGAGAAAAGTAACCACTTAGAAGTAAACCAAACCAAAGTACAACAGGAGCATCTGAAGTACAGCTAGTATTTTGGAAACCCCGCCTCAAGAGAAATACCTTAACAAAGTTTCATTTTTACCAGAGTCTCAATGACCTGGCGGAAGGGAAATACCAAATTCAAACCCCCTCTAGCCCTCTCAGTGTAAATTGAGAAAGAGAAGCACTTGTGAAGGTCTCAGGCGAAGGACTCAGGCTCTCTGAAAAAACTGAGAGCAAATCACAGACTTACAGGATGCTTACCCCCCATACATGCATACATTACCACTATATTTACAGTGTTCCGTATAATGCCATGGTGTTATTATGGAAAGCATTTCAAGTCTTATTCAAGAAAAAGTCTCCATATCACTCAAAGACCATAGGAAAGACAATAACAAGACGATAAAAAAAAATGTAGCCTCTAGTACTACGATAAACAGTAAACAAAGCCCAAATCCCAGACAGATAAACAGAAATATCACACACTAAAAGAACTATTTAACTAATTTTTTACTACCTAGTGCATAATGTTCAGCTTTCCACACACATACACACACACAAAAATGGAAAACATACTAAAAGTCAATTAAACACAGTTTCAAGAAACAGAGCAACCATCAAAACCAAACTCAGATACGGCAGAGATTTGGGAATTATGGTACAGAAATGTAAAATAACTATGAATAACATGCTAAGAGTTCTAATGGAAAAAATGGGACAAGATGCAAGAACAGAATGGATAATGCAGTGAGAGAAATGGAAACTCTAAGAATCACAAGGAAATGCTAGGTATCAAAATCACTTTAACCAAAATGAAGAATGCCTTTGATGAGCCCATCAGTGGGGCTGGGGGAAAGAATTAAATAGATTGAAGCTTGAAAATACATCAGTAGAAATTTCTCAAAAGAAGAATTAAAAAAACAAGAAAAGAATATCCAAGAACTGTGGAATAATAGCATAAGTTGTATAATATACAAAATGGTAATGCCAGAAGGAGAAGAAAAAAAGGAAAAAGTGCTTAACATCACCAATAATCAGGGAAATGCAAATGAAAACCACAATGGGATATCATCTCATGCCTGCAGGATGGCTGTTGTCAAAAAGATGATAGATAATGTAGTGGTGACGGTGTGGAGAAACTGGAACCCTTGTACGCTGTTAGTAGGAATGTATGTTGGTACAACAATTGTAGAAAACAGTATAGAGGTTACTAAAGAAATTAAAAATAGAACTACCATTTGACCAAGCAATCCCTCTTCTGGGTACATATCCAAAAGAAATGAAACCACAACCTCATACATTTATCTATGCTCCCATGTTCACTGCAGCATTATTCATAACAGCCAAGATATGGAAATAACCTAAGTGTTCAATCATGGATGACTGGATAGATATAAATAAATATATAAATAATGCATTATACACACACACACACAGAGGAATATTATTCAGCCTTAAAAAAGGAGATTCTGCCATTTGCCACAATACAGATGAACCTGAAGACATATGTTAAGTGAAATACTATAGGCTCAGAAAGAAAAATACAGAATGATCTCACTTTAAGAAAAAAAACATTGAATACATAAAAGCAGGAAGTAGAATGGTGGTTACCCAGGGGCAGGGCAGGGGTGGGAGTAATAAGGAGATGTGAATCAAAGTGTACAAAGTTGTAGTTAAGAAGGATGAATAAATCTAGAGATCTGATGTTCTGATGTACCACACGAGGACTCTAGTTAATAATACGGTATTATATGCTAAAAACTTGCAAGAAGAGTCATTTTACCATGAGTCATGCTCTTACCATGGGGTGGAGGGGAAAAGAAAGATAATGATGTGAGATAATAGATATGTTAGTTTGCTTGACTTGCAATAGTTATTTTAATATATACATATATGTGTATAAACATGTTGTATAACTTAAATTTATAGTTAAAAATTGTTTTAAAAAGTCAATTGCTTTCCTATGTACTTGTAATAAACAACTGTAATTTGAAAACAATGAAATGCCATTACACTAACAAAAATGAAATATATAACAAAATATGTGCAATATCTGTATGAGGAAAACTGTAAAACTCTGATTAAAAAAATCAAAGATCTAAGTAAATAAAAAGATATTCCATGTTCATAGATAGGAAGATCCACTATTGTTACAATGTCAGTTCTTGCCAATTTGATATATACTTTAAACTCAGTGACACTCAAAATATCAGTAAAATATTTTGTGTTTATCTACAAACTGATTCTAAAATTTATGTGAAAAGGCAAAAGACCTAGAAGAGCCAACACATTATTAAAGGCAAGAAATACAGAGGACCAACATTACCCAACTTCAGGACTTACTATAAAACTACAGAATTCAAGATAGTATAGTACTGATGAAAGAACAGACAAAGAGACCAATGTAAGTGAACAGAAATCCCAGAAATATACCCATGTTAATATATTCAACTGATCATTCACAAAGGAAAAAAACGGCAATTCAAGGGAGAAAATATAGTCATTTAAAAAATGATGCTTGACCAACTGGATATCCACATGCAAATAAATCTAGACTTATACCTTTCACCAAAATTAACTTCATAATATAATCACAGACATCTTTGTAAAATACACAAAACTGGAAAGCTGGAAACAAAGAAAATTAAAGTGACCTTGGGTTTGTTAATGACTTTTTACATACAAATTTGCATGTAAAAATGTGTGTGTCTATACTTTGCTCAATTTTTCTGTAAAAATTGTAAAAACTGCTCTAAAAATAGTCAATGTAAAAAAAACCCACACAACATAGAAAATGTGCAGCAAAAAGGCAAAAGTAAGTCCTCCCTTATCAGTAATAATTTCAAATATAAGTGGTTTAATTTAAAGGCACCAATTAAAAGGCAGAAGTGGACATAATGGATAAAAATGCAGGATCTAACTATTGTCTGCAAGAGATTCACCTTAGGTGCAAAAACAGAAAAATAGGTTAAAAGTAAAGGGATGAAAAAAGATATTTTGTGCAAATAGTCATCAAATCTAGACAAAATGGACAAATTGCTGGAAACACACTACTCTACCAAAACTAACTCAAGAAGAAACAAAAATATAAACAGATCTCTACACAAACATCAGAGAAAATAAACTTTAAGTCAAAAATTGTTACAAGATGCAAAGAAATGCATTATATTTTGATAAAAGGGCCAATCTATTAAAGAAGATATAACATTTATAACTATATAGGCCTCTAACAACAGAGTCCCAAATTATATGAAGAAAAAACTGACAGAACTGAAGGGAAAAGCAGATAATAATAGTGGAAGACATCAATACTGCACCTTCAATATTGAATATAAAAGGCAGAAGATCAATAAGCAGATAGAGCACTTGAACAACACTAGATCTATACAATATACACAGGACCCTCCACCCAACAACAGGAGAATACACATACTTCACAAGTACACATGAAACATTCCTCCAGGAAGACCATATGTGTAACCACAAAAGAGTCTCAGTAAGTATAAGAAGATGAAAATGATATAAAGCAGCTTCCATAATCTGAGAAACAAAAATAGATGCCCCTTTATCAACTAAGATGGACCCCAAGGTTAAGAAAACAAAAATTAGCTATGAGCTAAAGGTTCAGGGCTCAGCTGGCATGTCAATTCCCTAAATTTCTATGGCTACAAAAAACAAACAAACAAACAAAAAAACCACACACACACACCTTGCTAAACTCTTTAACAACAAGAGCTATTAGACAAATTGCCAGACTCCCTTCCTAACTCTGATTTACAACCCAGACCACTAAAATTCTGACTGGATAGAGAATCTGCCTTACAAATACTCCTTCCTGAAAGGCAACTGCAGACCTTAAGCCAGTTTCAGCAAGCTAATAGAGACTGCACACAAATTCTTTGTGTTTTATAGTCAACCTTTCAATAGACAGAGCCAAATTCTACCTCATTTTAATGCTAAAACCCCACCCCAAAGTGAACACGGAACGTTAAGTTACATACATGTCTACCCATTGAACATGTGCTCAACCCCCCCTCATAAATATGTATAGCTTTACCCAAAACAAGCTGAATATGTAAGACCCTATTGTTAATATGGACCCTTCCCTTTGGAAGAGAGAGTGCCTTCAGTCCACACCAGAGACCATATCTTCCCAAATTGCAAGTTGATGTCACCAATAAATCTCTTCTTTCTACTATTTAGCCATCCTGGTGGTCATTTGGACTAGACTTCTATGACCACAAAAGAAAGAAATCAGAAAGTCTTAACAGAAGGACATCTAGAATGTATACAAATATGTGGAAATTGAACAACATACTCCTAAACAACAAACAGGTCAAAAAAATTATAAGGGAAATTAGAAAATACTTGTAGATGAATGAAAATGAAAATACAACCTACCAAAAAGTATGGGTTGCAGTTAAAGCAGTATTCAGAAGGAAATGTATGGGTGTAAACACCTATACTTAACAAGAAGAAAGATTTCAAATCAATTACTTAACGTCACACCTTAAGAAACTAGAAAAAGAAGAATGAATTAAAACCAGAGGTAGCAAAAAGAAGGAAATAATAAAGAGTAGAAAAGATATAAAATACAGAATAGAAAAAGCAATAAAGAAAACAAAACTGGTTTTTGGAAAAAATGCAATAAAATTGACAAACATTCACATAGAGAAATCAAAGTAGAGACATTACTACCTACCTTTCAGAAATAAAAAGGATAACAAGAGAACAATATAAACCATTGTAGGCCAATAAATTAAGTAACCTAAATGAAATAAATCGCTAGAAACACACAAACTACCAAAACTGACTCAAGAATAAACAGAAAATATGAATAGGTCTATAACTAAGTAAGGAGTTTGAATCACTAATCAAAAACCTGCCAACAAAGAAAAAACCAGAACCCAAAGGCCTCAGTGATTAATTCTATCAGTTAAAGAAGAATTAAATAAAATTCATCTCACTTTCTTCCAAAAGAATAGAAGAGGAGGTAACACTTCCAAACTCATATCATGAAGCTAGCATTACCCTGACACCAATGCCAGAAAATTATATGATTACAGGCCAATATCCATTATGAATGCAAAATTCTTAATTAAAAAATAGCAAACCAATTCCAGCAGTATGGTAAAGAATACACCATGACCAAGTGGGGTATAATCCAGGAATGCAAAGATTGTTGAACATATAACAATCAAAATAGAGTACAATGCATTAATAGAAGGCAGGGTGAAAATTAAAAAAAAAACACATGATAATCTCATTTCATATAAAAGTAGTACTTAACAAAATACAAAGTCCTTTCATTATAAACCCACAGCAAGTATCATACTCAACAGTGAAAGACTGAAAGCTTTCCTCCTAAGATCAAGAACAAGACTAAGATGCCAATTGTGCCACTTCTACTAAACATTGTGCTGGAAGCCCAAGCAAGAGCAATTTTGCAAGAAAAAGGTGTAAAATGTATCCAGGGTGGAAAGTGTGAAGTAAAACTATTGCTATCCACAGACAACATGATCTTCTATATAAAAACTACTAAAGATTTCACACACACAAAAAAAACACTATTAGAGCTAATAAAGGAATTCAACCAAAGGTGCACAATCCATTTTAAAAAAAAAAAAACCCAGTGTATTTCTATACACTAGCAATGACCAATGTATAAAGGGAATTAAGAAAATTCTACTTATAATAGCATCAGAAATAATAAAATACTTAGAAATACATTTGTCAAGAGTTACAGGACTATAGTTATACACTGAAAACTGTAAAATGCTGCTGAAAGAAATTACACAAGTTCTAAATAAATGCAAAGCTATCCTGTGTTCACAGATTAAAAGACTTAATATTGTTAAGGTGGCAATAATATCCAAAGCTATGTCCAGATCCAATGAAATCCCTATCAAAACCCCAATGGTAATTTTTGTCAGAAACGGAAGAGATGCTAAAAATCATATGGAATTACAATCTCAAATTACCAAAACAATGTTGAAAAGGAAGAACAAAATTGGAGGCACTCTCACTTCTCAATTTCAAAAGTGCCACAAATCAAACAGTAATCAAAATGGTGTACTGACAGAAGAACAGAAATACAGAACAATGAAATAGAATTGAGAGTTCAGAGATAAGCCCATATATTTACGGTTAACTGACTTTCAACAAGGATGCCAAGACCATTCAGTGTGGAAAAGAATGGTCTCTTCAACAAATGTTCTTGGACAACCAGACAGCCACATGCAAAATATGAAGTATAAGGTTGAACCCATACCTCATACTATATATACAATTAGCTCAAAATGAATCTTAGACGTAAGTGTAATAGCTAAAACTACAGAAGGAGTAAATCTTGATGACCTCAGATTTGGCAACATATTCTTAGAAATGCCACTGAAAGTACAAGAAACACAAGGAAAAAATAGGTAAATTGGACATCATCAAAATTAAAATCAACTGGGCATCAGAGGATATTATTAAGAAAGTGAGGAAACAACCTATAAAATGGAAGAAATATTTGCATATCGCATATTAACAAGAATACAGTATTTGGAATATATAAAGAACTCTTACAACAACACCAAAAAGACACACAACCAAATTTTAAATTGAGCAAAGGACTTGAATAAACATTTCTCCAAAGAAGATACACAGATAACCAATGAGCACAGGAAAAGATGCTCAACAACATTTGCCTTTGGAGAAATGCAAATCAAGCCCATAATGCTTTATTTCTATTGGAAATAATCTCTTTAATGAGTCTAGTATACTTTCAGCTTTTGTTTTTTGTTGTTGTTGTTGTTGCTGTTGTTGTTGTTGTTGTTGTTGTTCTTTTAACAGATTCTCACTCTGTCAGCCAGGCTGAAGTGCAGTGGCACGATCTCGGCTCACTGAAACCTCAGCTTCCCGGGTTCAAGTGATTCTCCTGCCTCAGCCTCCCAAGTAGCTGGGATTATAGGCCCATGCCACCAGGCCCGGCTAATTTTTGTATTTTTAGTAGAGGCAGGTTTCGCCATGTTGGCCAGGCTGGTCCCAAACTCCTGACCTCAAGTCATCCACCTGCCTCAGCCTCACAAAGTGCTGAACCTGAAGAGAGCCAAACTTTCAGGTTTTCTAAGGACTGATCTACCTATTAAACAGACCCAGGGGCTGGGGAAAAACTCTCAATGTATTTCTGGTGAAGAGGAGAGAGAGGGAAGGACAGGGAAGGGAAGGGGAATAGCAAGGGGAGGGGAGGGCAGAGGAGAAGGAAAGAGAGGAGAAGAGAAGGGACCCCAGGTGAAAAGTAAGGAAGATAAAAGACAGAAAATGAGGCTGAACTTGTTTTTTTCCCTTAAAGCTTCATGCCTCTCAATTGTGCTTCTAAAACTTCAATCCTAGATGGCCAAAAAAGAAAGAGAAGGGAAAGTCAGGGAAATGATTAAATACAATCAAACTCTGATAGCAGAGAAATAATAATTTAAAAAAAAACCCTAAAAAAGGAGAAAGGAAACTAGCAAGCAATAACATTTGAGATGAAAGGGGAAGGGTGCCCTACTGTCACTCGGACCCCTTAAAAACACATGCGTGGGTATTCCTAAGTGGTCATTCATAAACCATTATAAATATAAAGATAAATATAAAGATATAAATATAAAGTCCAATTCTTTGTTTTCCAGAAAACACTGGGCCTCTACTCCACATTATTAAGAAAAGCATACTAAGCTGGACGGTTCCTCTGGTCTATGATATTAACCCGTCTTATAATTAGATGATTTTACAAATTAAATCATTATATCTAAATATCATGACATTCCTTATACTAAATTCCACTCTACAGTAAATTATCATAGCAGTGTAAGTTATTGAGAGAACAAACTTTTCATTAGTACACGAATCAGCAGAATTCTATTTGAGGGGTTAACAGCACTAAGTCAAAGTAGAGAACAAAATATATTTGGATGTATGGTGTTTATGTTTATATCATAAAAATGCTGTGAGTAATTAACAACTTTTTTAACTATTAGTTATGTGTTCTCCATTTGCTTTTCTAACAAATTGTATAGACTTACCTGAAAATGCAAAGAACAATTCATTTTGCAAACCAGCTCTTTGCATTTTAACGCGATGGCATTCAGACTTAAGTAAGGAAATTTCACATGAAAGGTCAAGAAGCAGTTTGCTTAAAATCTGAAGAAGTTTCTTCTCAAAAGAAATATTATAAATGCTATTGCAGGGAGCTGCATGATATCGAGCTGTGAACTGATAATAATAATGAGGCTCACGATAAGCTGTAAAAAATTAACAAGAGAAAGACACAAAAATGGTTATTTAAATAATTCAAACATATTGCAACTATTTAAGAAATATCATTATTTGGTATGAATTCTTGGTACATGTTTTTAGATATAATTATATTTATTTTTAGTTCTCCAACACTTATCTTGCAGTTACTAAGTACCAAATACTATGATAGACACTTTACAAATAGTGACTCATTTGAATCTCTCAACATCATTAAGATTTTCTATCCATCATAAAGAAATTGAGGGCGGCAGGGATTATGTCACATGTCCAATGCCTATGCTATCAAAACTAAGATTCTAACTTACCGAGCCTGGTCCCAGAGCCTCTTTTATTTACCTCAACACTATGCTGCTCAAACTCAGGTACAACACTTCTCTAAGTTTAAATATTTATCTTGGAAGAAATTAAAGTCATATAATTATGAACAATATTCAAAAATATATGTTTCTAATAAATACACAATTAGTTTTATTGAGTTGAGTACAACATCTGGAACTGAGAACACACACACACACACATATATATATATATTTTGCCCATCCCAAATTCTCACTGAAATGACACAAGAAAAATAAAAATGAAAAGAAATTCACTACAATACCAAAAGTCAGAAAAGTTCATCTTCCAAAACAGGGCGCTCTGTTGCTACTTCTGTCAAACAAGGGAGACTTCCCTGCCTGTTCCTGGATTACGCTCAGGAAAAGCTTCCTGCACACACTGAAGTGCACCCAGCCATTGTTTACTTTCTTACCTACACATTTAAGCTAAAATTAAGTACACATACTTAGCTACTGTCCATCTTTGTATTTGGAGTAGAGACCAGACAGCTTCTAATTGCTGAGGAAACCTCTATAGGTTTCATTTCTGAACAGGAATTCTAACATGCTTTTTGTACTGATTCATCCATCAGCGTAGGTACACATTTATCATGTATATATTACATATATCATGATTTATAATATCAAAGATATGTAATATATACAAATATCACATAGAATAACTGAACCTGAGGGGTCAGAGCTGGAACTATAGTTGAGTCACAGTATGACTGGGGACAGGGAAAGAAAACTTTTTCTCTCCAGAAATCTGACTCATATCAAGGTATTACCTGAAATAGAATTAAGTCTGAATTTAAGTCAAAATATCCCCCAAATTCTCTGAAACACTGTATCAAAAGTATACTCTTCTGAGTGTCCAGCAGAAGTACACACAAACCAGCAACAATTCAGGATCAGCTTATGTGCCTAAAAGAGTTAACGTTGCAGGTGGGAGGCTGCTTGCAGGATTAGCCCTTGGCTGGTAAACACCTCCCTACACAGTCAGGAATCTTTTTCTTCATGATAAAACTGTCTTCTTAACCGATGCACTGAACATCTTTTTGCCTTCTGGGAGTCTGAGATTGTTGTAGTTGGTAGGCAAAAGTGCCTACAGAACTGGTCCCTAATAAACATTCTGGATGTGTTACTGTTTATTCTGTTGCTTTTGTTTTTTCTTCAAAATCTCTCGCAAATCCTAAAGTATCTTCAAGATGATTCATGGAATAGACTTTAAATACACTTAAGTACAGATTTCTGACATCACTGAGATAATACAATTAGACTGGGTAAGAATTTGAGTAACTCCAATTTTAAAAACTGGACTCATAAAATTGCTAATCTAACATGAAGCAGAAAAAGAATTATGTGGGACTGAACTGATGTAGGACTAAAATTATTTTTATCACTTTTTGTTGAAAACATTGCTGATTACTTTTTTTTTTCCAGAGTCAAGAAAGCTTTTTTTTTAGCTACTTATAGTTTGCAGGAGTTGGGTAAAGCATATTTTTGAAAGCAAAATCAAAACATTTGCCTTTCTCTCTGATTTCTTCTGAATTGAGAAACTAACCATAAATATTTTTAATTTATGGCAATATAGTTATTTGCATAACATTAATAAGAATCTGTTTCCTTTCATAATAAGACACAGTTGAAAACACATATTACAAAGGCTTTGATTGCGATGTCACATTTTCAGGTATGACCAGGCTGCTTTAAGGAACTAAAGGTTAACTAGGATCCAATTAATCCCTTGGAAAAACTGCCCAAGTACCCTGTCTACATGGTTCTTTACAGGGTTACTAGCCTTGTGGTAAGTAAAAAAATATCAGTTTCTGAGAGGCATAGCATACTCTAAATATTTTGGGGACTTCAAGAAAAGAATTCACTCAAGTACTACAGGTAAAATCTGAGGGTGAGTCCATAGCTTGACTTCCTAAACTGGAGAGGATTTTAAAAGTCTTTTCCTTATGACAAGTTCCAGCAAAGCCAACTTTAAAAGAGTCTATAATAACGTCAATAATTATTCTTTCTACAGTTTATTTATTTATTTATTTATTTATTTATTTAGAGATGGAGTTTAGCTCTGTTGCCCAGGCTGGAGTGCAGCAGCACAATCTCTGCTCACTGCAGCCTCTGCCTCCCAAGTTCAAGTGATTCTCCCGCCTCAGCCTCCCAAGTAGCTGGGATTACAGGTGTGCACCACCATACCCGGCTAATTTTTGTATTTTTAGTAGAGATGGGGTTTCACTATGTTGGCTAGTCTGGTCTCGAACTCCTGACCTCAGGTGATCCACTTGCCTCGGCCTCCCAAAGTGCTGGGATTACAGGTGTAAGCCACTGTGCCCGGCCTTGCTACAGTTTATATAACTAATCAAGCCAACTATAATGAGGCTAAAACTTCCTTAACAACAAAACTGGACTCACTGTGATCTTTGGTAGAAATAGGTGACCAGAGAGAGAAAAATTATGTTTCAAGAAAAATTTAAAAACTATAGTGTGCCTGTTATTAGATTCTAGCTTTGTCCATTTGTTTTTGAGGGTTTTTTTTTTTTAATTATCTAGGCTGAGTCTTGAATTTTTAGTTTCTTCCAATATCTGACTATGACTCTGCAGACTAAAATTTCCAATATTTCTCCCACTCACTCATCTGACTTGAAATCCCTAGACATCAAAACTGCTTTTCCTAAAGCCCCCTGCAAGTTAATGCTAGACAACCTGATACAAACTTTGGAGAAATCACTACAACAACTTATGTATGTACAGAAAGTTCAGTGGAACACCTGATTCAAACTACAATCTGGGAAAATCTATCAAATTGCCACTCCCTGCCCATCCCAACTGAAATGTTTTGAGTCAAAATCTAAAATATTCTCAGCTGACTGCCCTCCAAACTCAAAGACTAGTTTGCAGACTGCTCCAGATGTTAACTTTTGTTTTTCTGTGTTTTCCATAAAAATGATTCCAACTAAATACCAGTGTGCCTATACCATATAGAAACCAAATTTGAAAAAAAAAACTCACCTCTAACACCATCTCCTGAAATCAGGCTCACCTGTTCAACTAAGCTTATTATTCTCAGGACTAAGAGATTCATTCAATAAGATATGGAATCCAAATTTGTTCCTTTCTACTTGTTTCAATCTGTTTCTCACCCTTTGCCAGGTTAGAACCTCTAATCCAAATCTCCCCAAAGCTACCAACTTGGAATTTAATATGTAAAACTTTCTAAAACTAAAGCTGTAAAAGGGGGACTGAAGAAAAACAAAATATTTCTTCCCCAAATATTGAGGATTGTAAGGTTAAAGACGCTGAAAATGGAGGGGACCATTCTGCCTTAGCCTCTATTTGCCCGATGGCAGGACACCAATCCTTCCTTACTGGAGACAACACTTGCTAATCTGTCCAGAGAAAGCACCAGCAGGCACCAAAGGAATCTGGGAACAGATTTTACTATCATCCCACATTTTCTAATCTTTTAGAAGACTGGAACTGCTCTCTCCTATGTTTTGTCACTAAATTGGATTTGTGGCTCTTTGTTAAAATATTATGTAAGCAAGGCCCCTAAGCCACCAATCGGAGATACTTTTGATTTGAGGCCTCTCCAGCATGATAGGTACAGCACACGCATAAACTTCTGCCACTTTCTCCCTTGTTAACCTGGCTTTTGTTTTCAGCAGTGTCTCAACTAAGAAGTTATTCAATTGCCAGCACAGTTCAAGGCCACTGCCTTGCTTTCTACTAAATAGGTGACAGTAATTCACCCACCATAAGTGCAAATATCAACACAGTAGAAATAGCAAATAATGTCTTAGTATAATAATAAATTAGTTTTCACTTTACTGATCCCTTGAAAGTGTCTCAGGGACTCCCAGAGTTTCACAGACCATAATTTGAGAACCACTGATCTATAGTCAAAGTACTGTTAGAAATTGACAAGTGCACAAAAACAGGAAAACAGGCAAAATATATAAACTGAAAATCTTATATGGGAAAATAAACATACATAAATAGATGCTCAAAGATAACAGTATTAAGAAAAATGCAAATTATAAGTGATACAGTTTTTTACACCCACTATATAGATTAAAAGAGCAATAAAACCTATTTTGTTGGTGGTAAGGATACAAAGAAGTATATGTACATTATTAAAATTTAAGAAAATGTAAAAATGTAAACCCTCAAAATGTTAAAGAGAGGAATAAATTAAGAACAGGAAATTATAAAACAAAAACAGGTGGATATGACCAAAAACAAGTGGGGATTATAAAAATGCAAGATCTAATATATTGGAGAATGAAAATATCGTCATTGAAATAAAAAGAAAAATCACCAAAGTTAAAAAATAAATAACTTAAGTGAAATAGATAAGCCAAATGGCAGACATAACACACCTGAAGAAACATTTGGTAAATTGCATGAGAGTGCCTAAAATACACCACATTTAAAGATTCTGGTATATGAAAGACAAGCTAAAGGTTTTGAATGATAAGTTAAGAAATCCTAATAAATATGTTTCTTTGTTTGTTTTGAGACAGAGTCTTGCCCTGTTGCCCAGGATGGAGTGCAGTGGCGTGATCTCGGCTCATTGCAACCTCCACCTCCCGGGTTCAAGCAATTCTCCTGCCTAAGCCTCCCGAGTAGCTGGGACTACAGGCGCCTGCCACTGAGCTGGCTACTTTTTTCTTTTTAGTAGAGACAGGGTTTCATCATATTGGCCAGGCTGGACTTGAACTCCTGACCTTGTGATCCACTCTCCTTCGCCTCCCAAAGTGCTGGGATTACAGGCATAAGCCACCACGCCTGGCCAATAAATATGTTTAATTAGCATTCCAGAAATAAAAAATTGTCAGAAGGAGGCTTTGAAAGAAGTCAACAAAACACAAAACTTCAACATTGTAATATGTAAACCACATTCTCTGACACACATATCAAAATAAAAATCAACAACAAAAATCCCTCAAACATTTTTAAACAAATAAAATAGTACTAAATAACAAATGACTATAAAAGAAATCATAGTAAATATGACTAAATATTTAGAAATGATGATAAACATATCAGTAATTGTGGGATGCAATTATAGTAATAAAAAGTAAATTTATAGTCTTAACTAGGTTTACCCAAAAAATAGAAAGAAAATAAGTGAGCTAACTGTACAACTCAAGAGTCTACATAAAGAACAAGGTTAACACAAGAAAGGAAGTTAGGGAAAGAGAACAAGAAAAATCAAAGAAGGAATCCCTGAGAAATACAAAAAATAATTATAATTTAGGTAGAAGGACAGTAAAATCCATGATACATAAAGAAAACATCAAAAAATGTACTAATTAACAGAAAAAATTGTAAAATTTAATATATAAAGAAAAAACAAATAACTACACAAAACACTATAAATATCTTCATGTCAATGAATTTGGAGAGTTGGATTAAAACTATTTCTAGGAGAAATTAAATTTTTACTCATAATATGAATACTATAATGTGTGCAAGAAGAAATAAACTGAATAAAGTAATCACTACTACTAAAAAATAACTGTGGGAGACAGACTTCTGACTAGACAGCTGGAGGAGCTCTGCAAACTCCAACAAAGCTGCTATAAATTCTTTTTTAAAAACAACCATTAAACAGTCTTTGGAAATTGTCCTAAGGGCATAGAAAAAATAAAGAAACATTTATTCAAAGAAGTCTATCGCATGTCAGTAAGAACAGTGTAATAGTCCGTTCTCACACTGCTATAAAGAACTACTTAAGACTGGGTAATTTATTAAGAAAAGAGGTTTAGCTAACTCACAGTTCTGCAGGCTGTACAGAAGCATGGCTGGAAAGCCTCAGGAAACTCACAATCATGATTGAAGGTGAAGGGGAAGCAAGCAGGTCTTACCATGATGGAGCAGGAGAGACAGAGTGTGAAGAAAGAAGTGCTACACACTTTCAGACAACCAGATCTCATGAGAACTCACTATCACAAGCACAAGGAGGAAATCCGCCCCCATGATCTAATCACCTCCCAACAGGTCCTTCCCCCAAAATTGGGGAGTACAATTAAACATGAGATTTAGGTGGGAAGACAGCCAAACCATATCAAACAGTATTTGAACAAAGCATATGAATCAAGACCTGCTCCCTTCCTCCCTCCCCTCAGCTCAAGGAGAGAGACACTCCATTCCAGATTTCTACAGCCTAACACAGGGTTCTTTCCCCACCCAGCTTTCAGTTAATAGACTATCTCCCAGGAAAGGAAGGATGTCAGCATTTCTCATCCTAGCCCCAGCTCCGTGTTGCTGAAGTTATTAAGTTGCAGGTGAATCTGGCTGAGAGGTGATGGCTACCTTCTTCCACCTAGTCCTACCTCCTGAGACAGAGGCTCTAAATCAGGTAGAGGAACACTGAGAATACTGAGTCCTCCATCACCCTTACCCCAATTCATGGTGTAAGGGTTCCACATCAGGACTATAAGCTGATGATACCTACGACTCCTGCTACCCCTACATCAAATGCTCAGCTCCTAAAGCAGGGTGTCACTCAGAAAGCAGCACACCACTGTCCCCAGCCTCAGCTTCAGTGCTATCGCTCAGAGAATTTATCCAGGGAAGAGAACCAGGCTGCAGAACAGAAAGCTCTGAATCTCAAAGGAACTGGTTTCACTTGCGTGTAAGTGTAGACAAGCTCAACTGAGAACAGATTCATAGATTCACTGGCGTTATAAGCTAAACTACAAGTTGGCCAGACAGCAACACAGAGTCACCTAGGAGAAGCAATACTGGGATCAGAACATATCTCAAACACTGATCTAAAGAACTAATAGTTCAAGAAACCCAAATTTAACTGGATCAGTAGAGCAATTTATTTCCTAGGGCACTGTTGAAAGCAATAGATCAATCATCTGAGTGAGTATGTTTAGGAAAAGAGACAGTCAGAGATAGCCCTGCCAAAACTGCTGTGGGTACACCCAAGCTGCATCTTCCAAGGACATACATCAGAGGCTTCACCTAGCAACTTCACCCCAGAGTTGCTACAATATACAGTCATGTGCTGCATAATTATGTTTTGGTCAACAACAAACGGCATATACAATGTTGGTCCCATAGATGATAATACCTTATTTTTAGTCTACCTTTATTATATTTAGATATGTTTAGATACACAAATACCACAGTATTACAACTACATACAGTATTCAATACAGTATCATGCTCTGTAGGTTTGTAGCCTAGGAGGAAAAGGCCATACCACGTAGCCTACGTGTGCAGTAAGCTATACCATCTAGGTTTGTATAAGTAAACTCTATGACGTTCACAAAATAAAATTGTCTAATGACACATTTCTCAGAATATATCCCCATCATTAAGAAACACATAACTAGATTATCTAAAATGTGAAGTTTCTGACAAAAATTTGTAAAACACGTAAGGAAACGGGACATATACTGGAAAAAGGGAAGCAACAGCTGTGACAGTGACCAGATGTGGGATTTAAAAAATAAACACTTCAAATAATTCATTATAAATATGTTAAAAGAATTAAAGGAAACCAAAATTGAAGAAGATATGGTTATAAAATCACATCAAATAGAGAATATAAAGACTGATATTATAAAAAAGAATAAAATGGAAATGCAAGAGCTGAAAAGTAAAAATACTAAGAGGGTTCAAGAGTAGATTTAAACTGGCAGGAGAAATAATTAGCAATATTTGCCACATACCTAGCTTATAATAAATTCTAAAAGAAGTGATTCAGAATTTAAAAATGTGATGCCAGCCAGTAATCTGAATCTACATGCAAAAAAAACAAAGTGCACCAATTAAGGTAGTTATGTAATCAAAAAGACAGTACAACTATGCATTTCTTCTACTCTTTTCCCTTTTACTGATTTAAAAGCAATTTCACAGAAGAATTTATATATAACATATAAATTGGGCCTATAACACATAAATATATATTTGCCAGTAATAACACAAAAGAGGTGGGTGAGAGAAGCTGTATTGGTCTAAAACAAAATTCAGATGGTAACTTGAATCCAGGGAACAAATGAAGAGAACCACAAATGATAAATAAGAAGGCTGTATATGACAAAACCTATAAATATATACTTCCTCTCCTTTCTACTCTCAGCTTATTTGAAAGATACAAAATTACGTAAAATAATAACAAGGTATTGTTTAGTTTGTAACATTTAAAGATGTAATATGTGTAATATTGATACCATAAAATACAGACAAACAGAAGTACATAAGAGTAACATTTCTATAGCTTGCTGGAATTAAATTAGTATAAATCTAAAACTGATTCTGATAGGTTAATATGTATGTAGCAAGCTCTAGAGAAATTAATAAAGAACTGGAAATAAACAGCAAAAAGTAATTAAAGAAATGAAAATACTACATTAGAAAATATTCATTTAATTCAACAGAATTAATGCAGAATAGAAGAACACACATGAAGAATATGGAAACAAAAAGTAAAATAGCAAAGTATATCCAAGTATATCAATAATAACATTAAATGTTAATGGATTAAACAAGCCAATCAAAAAGCAGATGGTCAGACTAGATTTAAAAAGTTATATCCAACTACACTATATATTGTCTACATGAGATGCACTTTAAATTCAAAGGTACAAATAGGTTGAAAGTAATAGAATGTTAAAAGATATACCATGCATACTGCAATCACAAGAATGCAATAGTGGTGACACAATTAACAAACAAAACAGACTGTAAGTGGCTGGCGAGATGGCTGAATAGGAATAGCTCCGGTCTGCAGTTCCCAGCGAGATCAACGCAGAAGGCAGGTGATTTCTGCATTTCCAACTGAGGTACCTGGTTCATCTCATTGGGACTGGTTAGGCAGTGAATGCAGCCTACAGTGGGCGAGCTGAAGCAGGGTGGGTGTCGCCTCACCCGGGAAGCACAAGGGGTCAGAGAACTCCCTCCCCAAGCCAAGGGAAGACATGAGGGACTGTGCCATGAGGAATGCAGCCCAGACACTACCCTTTTCCGACAGTCTTCGCAACCTGCAGACCAGGAGATTCCCTCAGGTACCTACACCACCAGGGCCCTGAGTTTCAAGCCCAAAACTTGGCGGCCATTTGGGCAGACACCGAGTGAGCTGCAGGAGTTTATTTTTCACACCCCATTGGTGCCTGGAACACCAGCGAGACAGAACCATTCACTCCCCTGGAAAGGGGGCTGAAACCAGGGAGCCAAGTAGTCTAGCTCAGCAGATCCCACCCCTACAGAGCCCAGCAAGCTAAGATCCACTGGCTTGAAATTCTCGCTGCCAGCACAGCTGTCTGAGGTCGACCTGGGATGCTCAAGCTTGGTGGGGGGAGGGGCATCTGCCATTACTGAGGCTTTAGTAGGCAGTTTTCCCCTCACAGTGTAAATAAAGCTGCCTGGAAGTTTGAACTGGGTGGAGCCCACCTCAGCTCTGCAAAGCCGCTATAGCCAGAGTGCCTATCTAGATTCCTCTTCTCTGGGAAGGGTATCTCTGAAAGAAAGGCAGCAGCCCCAGGCAGGGAATTATAGATAAAATTCCCATCTCCCTGGGACAGAGCACCTGGGGGAAGGGGCAGCTGCGGGTGCAGCTTCAGCAGGCTTAACCGCTCCTGCCTGCCAGCTCTAAAGACAGCAGTGGATCTCCCAGCACAGAGCTCAAGCTCTGCTAAGGAACAGACCACCTCCTCAAGTGGGTCCCTGACCCCCATGCCTCCTGACTGAAAGACACTTCCCAGCAGGCGTCGACAGACACCTCATACAGGAGAGCTCCGGCTGGCATCTGGCAGGTGCCCTCTGTGATGAAGCTTCCAGAGGAAGGAACAGGCAGCAATCTTTGCTGTACTGCAGCCTCCACTGGTGATACCTAGGCAAAGAAGGTCTCGAGTGGACCTCCTGCAAACTCCAGCAGACCTGCAGCAGAAGGGCCTGTTAGAAGGAAAACTAACAAACAGAAAGGAGTAGCATCGACATCAACAAAAAGGATGTTCACACAAAAACCCCATCCAAAGGTCACCAACATCTCCAAAGGTCACCAACATCAAAGACCAAAGGTAGATAAATTGATGAAGTTGAGGAAAACCAGTGCAAAAAGGCTGAAAATTCCAAAAACCAGAACACTTCTTCTCCTTCAAAGGATTACAACTCCTCACCAGCAAGGGAACAAAACTGGACAGAGAATGAGTTTGATAAACTGACAGAAGTAAGCTTCAGAAGGTGGGTAATAACAAACACCTCTGAACTAAGGAGCATGTTGTAATCAGATGCAAGGAAGCTAAGAACCTTGAAAAAGGGTTAGACGAATTGCTAACTAGAATAACCAGTTTAGAAAAAAACATAAATGACCTGATGGAGCTAAAAACCACAGCATGAGAACTTCAAGAAGCATACACAAGTATCAATAGCCAAATCAATCAAGCAAAGAAAGGATATCAGAGATTGAAGATCAACTTAATGAAATAAAGCATGAAGACAAGATTAGAGAAAAAAGAATGAAAAGGAACAAACAAAGCCTCCAAGAAATATGGGACTATGTGAAAAGACCAAACCTACATTTGATTGGTGTATCTAAAAGTGACGAGGAGAATGGAATCAAGTTGGAAAACACTCTACAGGGATATTATCCAGGAGAACTTCCCCAACCTAGCAAGACAGGCCAACATTCAAATTCAGGAAATACAAAGAGCACCACAAAGATACTCCTCAAGAAGAGCAACCCCAAGACACATAATTGTCAGACTCACCGAAGGTTGAAACGAAGGAAAAAATGTTAAGGGCAGCCAGATCAGGTTACCCACAAAGGCGAGCCCATCAGACTAACAGAAGATCTCTCTGCAGAAACCCTACAAGCCAGAAGAGAGTGGGGGCCAATATTCAACACTCTTAAAGAAAAGATTATTCAACCCAAAATTTCATATCCAGGCAAACTAAGCTTCATAAGTGAAGGAGAAATAAAATCCATTACAGACAAGCAAATGCTGAGAGATTGTGTCACCACCAGGCCTGCCTTACAAGAGCTCCTGAAGGAAGCACTAAATATGGAAAGGAAAAACTGTTACCAGCCACTGCAAAAACATACCAAATTGTAAAGAACATCAACACTATGAAGAAACTGCATCAACTAACAGGCAAAATAACCAGCTAGCATCATAATGACAGGATAAAATCCACACATAACAATATTAACCTTAAATGTAAACAGGCTAAATGCCCCAATTAAAAGACACAGAATGGCAAATTGGAGATTCAAGACCCATCTGTTGGGAACAAACCCCCAAATCTGGTCATAAACTGGCCCCAAAACTGGCCATAAACAAAATCTCTGCAGCACTTGACATGCTCGTGATGGCCATGACACCCACGCTGGAAGATTGTGGGTTTACCAGAATGAGGGCAAGGAACACCTGGCCCACCCAGGGCAGAAAACCGCTTAAAGGCCTTCCTAAACCACAAACAATAGCATGAGTGATCTGTGCCTTAAGGACTTGCTCCTTCTTCAGATAACTAGCCAGAGCCCATCCCTTGTTTCGTCCCATCCCTTTGTTTCCCGTTAAGTAATACTTTTAATCTATAATCTATAGAAACAATGCTTATCACTGGCTTGCTGTCAATAAATACGTGGGTAAAACTCTGTTCAGGGCTCTCAGATCTGAAGGCTGTCAGCCCCCTGATTTCCCACTCCACACTCTATATTTCTATGTGTGTGTCTTTAATTCCTCTAGCACCACTGGGTTAGGGTCTCCATGACCTAAATGGTCTCGACACCCATTGGTGTGCTGTATTCAGGAGATCCATCTCACATGCAAAGACACACATAGGCTCAAAATAAAGGGATGGGGGAATGTTTGCCAAGCAAATGGAAAGCAAAAAATAGCAGGGGTTACAATCCTAGTCTATGATAAAACAGACTTTCAACCAAAAAATATCAAAAAAGACAAAGAAGGGCATTACATAATAGTAAGGGGATCAATGCAACAAGAAGAGCTAACTATCCTAAATATATAGGCACCCAATACAGGAGCACTCAGATTCATAAAGCAAGTTCTTAGAGACCTAGAGACTCCCACACAATAATAGTAGGAGACTTTAAGACCTCACTGTCAATATTAGACAGATCAATGAGACAGAAAATTAGCAAGGATATTCAGGACTTGAACTCAGTTCTGGACCAAATGAACCTAACAGACATCTACAGAACTCTCCACCCCACATCAACAGAATATACATCCTTCTCAGCACATCAGACTTATTCTAAAATTGACCATATAATTGGAAGTAAAATGTTCCTCAGCAAATGCAAAAGAATAGAAATTGTAACAAATAGTCTCTCAGACCACAGTGCAATAAAATTAGAACTCAGGATTAAGAAACTCACTCAAAACTGCACAACTATGTGGAAACTGGACAATCTGCTCCTGAATGACTACTGGGTAAATGACAAAATTAAGGCAGAAATAAATAAGTTCTTTGGAACCAATGAGAACAAAGACACAACGTACCAGAATCTCTGGGACACAGCTAAAGCAGTGTTTAGAGGGAAATTTATAGCACTAAATGTCCACAGGAGAAAGCAGGAAAGATTTAAAATTGACACCCCAACATCACAATTAAAAGAACTAGAGAAGCAAGAGCAAACAAATTCAAAAGCCAGCAGAAGACAAGAAATAAAACTAAGATCAGAGCAGAACTAAAGGAGATACAAACATGAAAAACTCTCCAAAAAATCAATGAATCCAGGAGCTGGTTTTTTGAAAAGATTAACAAAATAGATAGACTGCTAGCCAGACTAATAAAGAAGAAAAGAGAGAAGAATCAAACGGACACAATAAAAAAATAATAAAGGGGATATCAACATTGATCCCACAGAAATACAAACTACCATCAGAAAATACTATAAACACCTCTAGGCAAATAAACTACAAAATCTAGAAGAAATGGATAAATTCCTGGACACATACACTCTCCCAAGACTAAACCAGGAAGAAATAAAATCCCTGAATAGAACAATAACAAGTTCTGAAATTGAGGCAGTAATAGTCTACCAACCAAAAAAAGCCCAGGACCAGACAGATTCACAGCTGAATTCTACCAGAGGTACAAAGAGGAGCTGGTACCATTCCTTCTGAAACTATTCCAAACAATAGAAAAATAGGGACTCCTCCCTAACTCATTTTATGAGGCTGGCATACTCCTGATATCAAAATCTGGCAGAGACAAAAAAAGAACATTTCAGGCCAATATCCCTGATGAACATCGATGTGAAAATCCTCAATAAAATACTGTCCAGCAGCACATCAAAAAGCTTATCCACCACGATCAAGTCAGCTTCAACTCTGGGATGCAAGGCTGGTTCAACATACTCAAATCAATAAACGTAATCCATCACATAAACAGAATCAATGACAAAAACCACATGATTATCTCAATATATGCAGAAAAGGTCTTTGATAAAATACAACACCCCTTTATGCTAAAAACTCTCAATAAACTACGTATTGATGGAACGTATCTCAAAATAATAAGAGCTATTTATGACAAACCCACAGCCAATATCATAATAAATGGGCAAAAGCTGGAAGCATTCCCTTTGAAAACTGGCACAAGACAAGGATGCCCTCTCTCACCACTCCTATTCAATATAGTATTGGAAGTTCTGGCCAGGGCAATCAGGCAAGAGAAAAACATAAAGGGTATTCAAATAGGAAGAGAGGAAGTCAAATTGTCTCTGTTTGCAGATGACATGATTTTATATTTCGAAAACCCCATCATCTCAGACCCAAATCTCCTTAAGCTGATAAGCAACTTCAGCAAAGTCTCAAGATACAAAATCAATGTGCAAAAATCACAAGCATTCCTATACACCAATAATAGACAAACAGCCAAATCATGAGTAAAATCCCATTCACAATTGCTACAAAGAGAATAAAATACCTGGGAATACAACTTACACGGGATGTGAAGGACCTCTTCAAGGAGAACTACAAACCACTGCTCAAGGAAATAAGAGAGGACACAAACAAATGGAAAAACATTCCATGTTCATGGATAGGAAGAATCAATATATTGACAATGGCCATACTGCAGAAAGTCATTTATAGATTCAATGCTATCCCCATCAAGCTACCATTGACTTTCTTCACAGAACTAGAAAAAGCTACTTTAAATTTCATATGGAACCAAAAAGGAGCCCATATAGCCAAGACAATCCTAAGCAAAAAGAACAAAGCTGGAGGCATCATGCTACCTGACTTCAAACTATACTACAAGGCTACAGTAACCAAAACAGCATGGTACTGGTACCAAAACAGATATGTAGACCAATGGAACAGAACAGAGGCCTCAGAAATAATGCTACACATCTACAACCATCTGATCTTTGACAAAACTGACAAAAACAAGCAATGAGAAAAAGATTCCTTATTTAATAAATGGTGTTGGGAAAACTGGCTAGCCATATGCAGAAAACTGAAACTGGACCTCTTCCTTACACCTTGTATAAAAATTAACTCAAGATGGATTAAAGACTTAAAGGTAAGACCTAAAACCATAAAAATCCTAGAAGAAAATCTAGGCAATGCCATTCAGGACATAGGCATGGCCAAAGACTTCGTGACTAAAACACCAACAGCAATGGCAACAAAAGCCAAAATTGACAAATGGGATTTAATTTAACTAAAGAGCTTCTGCACAGCAAAATAAACTATCATCAGAGTGAACAGGCAACCTACAGAATGGGGGAAAATTTTTGCAATCTATCCATCTGACAAAGGGCTAATATCCAGAATCTACAAGGAACTTAAACAAATTTACAAGAAAAAAAAAATGGCCATCAAAAAGTGGGCAAAGGACATGAACAGACACTTCTCAAAAGAAGACATTTATGTGGACAACAAACATATGAAAAAAAGCTCATCATCTCTGGTCATTACAGAAATGCAAATCAAAACCACCGTAAGATACCATCTCACACCAGTTAGAATGGCAATCCTTAAAAAGTCAGGAAACAACAGATGCTGGAGAGGATATGGAGAAATAGGAACACTTTTACACTGTTGGTGGGAGTGTAAATTAGTTCAACCATTGTGGAAGACAGTGTGGTGATTCCTCAAGGATCTAGAACCAGAAATACCATTTGACCCAGCAATCCCATTACTGGGTATATGCCCAAAGGATTATAAATCATTCTACTATAAAGACACATGTATATGTATGTTTACTGCAGCATTATTCACAATAGCAAAGACTTAGAACCAACCCAAATGACCATCAATGATAGGCTAGATAAAGAAAATGTGGCATACGCACACCATGGAATAGTATGCAGCCATAAAAAAGGATGAGCTCATGTCCTTTGCAGGGACATGGAGGAAGCTGGAAAACACCATTTTCAGCAAATTAACACAGGAACAGAAAACCAAACACTGCATGTTCTCACTCATAAAGGGGAGCTGAACAATGAGAACACATGGACACAGGGAGTGGAACATCACACACCAGGGCCTGTTGGGTGGTGGGGGAGCTAGGGGAGGGATAGCATTAGGAGAAATACCTAATGTAGATGACAGATTGATGGGTGCAGCAAACCACCACGGTATGTGTATACCTATGTAACAAACCTACATGTTCTACACATGTATCCCAGAATTTAAACTATAATTAAAAAAAAAGAAATGGTGGGAGATGTCTTCACAATATATCATGCTTCCAGATCCTTTCTGATAAAATTATACACTAATGCTAATGATATATTAAAGGACAATACCAAAAAGTCAAGGGTCAGGTCAAAAAGGAGATGGATATTTTTACAGACCAGACACAGAGTACATATACAATGTGGGGAAAATGCCATAGGGTTGCTGGTCTATGGACACAGTAGCAGGGAAGTCGCAGCAGGAACTTGGCCTCTGTGGAGAATAGCCTTACATGATTTTTATGTGAGATAGGAGACTAAAACTAGACTCACAGAATAAAACTAGGGACTGAGTATAGCACTCTGCTCATAGAAGCTAAAAAACCCAAATGGCAAAAAAAAAAAAAAAAACCCAAATGGCTACAACCGCTGCTTGAAGCTATGGCTCATAACAAGCAGGGTGCCTCATGAGAAAATGATCGAAGTTCCTGCTTTCCAGCCAGGAACTAAACCAAGTCCCCCACAGCTTTCCTGAATGTATGGCAATATCTCCATATCACAATAGGTCATTAGAAGATCTGATTTGGAACAGAGGCCCAGTGGGTGGAGTGCGCGAGGAAGCACTGGATGCAGAACCACTGCACAATGAGAAATATGTTTCCGTTGGATTTAACAACAAGGGGACTATTGATAACCTTAACCTCAGTAGTTTCATGCAATTGCAGATGCAAGTACCAGAATAGTATGGGAGGGTAACTGAGGGTGAAAGGAAGAGTTAGGCATACTGAGTGTAGATATCTTTCTCAAGAAAAATAGAATACGCTTCTCCTACAGAGTCAGGTACAAGGAACACTGAAAAAACAAAAAACAGACTTTAAAACAACAACGAAAAGTTACTAAAGAAAAAAGGGACTTTTATTATGATAAAAAGGTCAGTATATCAGGAAGAAAGAACAATTATAAACATACAGATATTAAAGAGGAATTAGATAATTCAATATTAATTGGAGACATCAATATCCCACTTACAATGATGAATAAAAAAACTAGGAAGAAGATCAACAAAGAAATAGAAGACCTGAACAACACTATAAACCAAATAGATCTGAGAGTCATCTACAGTAAACTGGCTAACAGCAGCAGAATATGCATTCTTCTCAAATACACATGGAACATTCTCAAGGATAAAGCATATACTAAGCCATAAACCTTTGAAATAATCCAAATTATTTTCTCTGATAAAGTAAAATTAAAAATCAGCAACAAAAGAAATTTGAAAAACTCAGAAATGAAAATTAACAGACTCCTAAATAATCAATAGATCAAAGAAAAAATCAAAAGATAAGTTAGAAATAATCTTGATATAAATGAAAATGAAGACAAAACATGCCAAAACCTATGGCATGCAGGTAAGACAGCACGTAGAGGGAAATAATATGCCATAGGCATGGCATATTATAAAAGAAAGCTCTCACGTAGCCTAATCTTTTATCTTCGGACAATGAAAAAGAAAGAGAAAATAGAAAAACTAAATATAAAACACGCAGAATGAATAAAATAATAAAGACTTCAGCAGAGATAAGTGATATAATAAATAAAAAATAGTGAAAATCAATGAAACCAAGACCAGTTTTTTAAGAAATCAACAGAATTGATCAAATTTTAGCTAGATTTACAAAAACAAGAGATAGAAGACTCAAATTACTAGAATCAGAAAAAAGGGGAGAGACTACTGACCTTAAAGAAATAAAAGAATTACAAAGGAATACTACAAACAACTCTATGCCAACAAATTAGACACATTTAGATAAAATAAATTCTTAGGAAGACACAAACTACTGAAACTGACTCAAGTAGAAACAGACAATCTGATTAGACCTGTAATAAAAAGGTTGAATTAGTAATCAAAAAACTACCTATGAAAAACAACACAAGCCCAAAGGTCTTCACTGATGAATTCTACCAAACAGTTAAGATATATTAGCAACAATTCTTCACAAACACTTTCAAAATTGGAACAGAAGGGAATACACCCCAGCGCATTCTATGAAGCCAGTAATACCCTGATACCTAAACCAAAGACATCACAAGAAAACTATATACCAGTATCTCTTATGAACACAAATGCAAAAATTCCCAATAAAATACTGGCAAATCAAATCTAGCAAAATATTGAAAAAAATCATACACCATGACCAAGTGGGATTTAAACCGAGAATGCAAGTTTGGGTTAATATTTAAAAAATCAATTCATGTAACAAACCATAGTAATGAAGTACGAAATAAAAAACACATTTATATTAACTTATGTAAGAAAAAACATTTGACAAAATCCAACATCCTTTCACAATAAAAACAATCCTCAAATATAAACGTAGAATAAGGGAATTTCTTCCATCTGATAATGGGCACCTACAAGAAACCCACAGCTAACATTATATATACTCAATGGTGAAAGACTAGATTATTTCCCCCTAATATTATGAGAAAGGTAATGATGCCCACTCTCAACATACTTTTTCAACATATATCTAAAGTCCTAGGCTCCTCAATAAAAAAAAACAAAAATAAATAACAAATACACAGATTCTGTCTCTGTGTCAACATGCCATAAATGTCTCACGAAGAATCTACCAAAATCTAAAAATCTAGTATTGTTACATGACTTTGACAAGGTGGCAGGATACAAAATCAACACAAAATTACACATATTAGCAATAAACATGTGTAATTAAAAGTTTAAAATATAATATTTATAATTATTCTAAAAAATCAAAATAACACACTTAGTATACACTTAACAAAACATGTATATGCAAATGAAAGAAATCAAAGACCTAATTAAATGGATAGACATACCATGCTCATAAACTAGAAGACACAGTATAGGAAGGATGCAATTCTTCCCCAAATTAATCTATAAATTGAATGTAATTCCCATCAAAATCACATTAGGATATTTTGTTGATGCACATAAGAATATTCAAAAATTTATATGGAAAGGGACAGACATTTAAATAACAAAGACTATTCTTGAAAACTATCTTGAAAAGAACTTTCTCCTTGGTGCTGAGGTTTTCTATATACTTACAGTAATCAACAGTGTAGCACTGGTAGAGGAGGTATAAAACTATAAATCAATGGAAGAAATTACAGAACCTAGGAAAAAAGCACCCACACAAATATCTTCAACTGATTTTTGACAAAGATGCAAAAACAACTCAATGGAGGAAGAATAACCTTTTCAGGAAATAATATTGAAGCAACTGAACATCCATATGTAAAAAATAAAAGCAATAAAAATCAACCTTAAACCAAGCCTCAGCACACTTTACACAAAAATTAACTGAAAATGCATGCCATAGTTAAATATAAAAAGGAAACCTGTGCTGGGAGAACTGGCTAGCCATATGCAGAAAATTGAACCTGGACCCTTTCCTTATACCTTATTAAAAACTTAACTCAAGATGGATTGAAGCCACTGCACTCCAGCCTGGACGACAGAGCGAGACTCCGTCTCAAAAAAAAAAAAAAAAAAAAAAAAAACCTAAAATTATAAAAACCCTAGAAGAAAACCTAGGCAATACCATTCAGGACATAGGCACAGGCAAAGATTTCATGACAAAAATGCAAAAAGCAATTGCAACAAAAGCAAAAATTGACAAATGGGATCTAATTAAACTAAAGAGCTTCTGCACAGTAAAAGAAACTATCATCACAGTGAACAGGCAATATACAAAGTGAGAGAATATTTTTGCACTCTATTCATCTGACAAAGGTGTAATATTCCAGAATCTACAAGGAACTTAAACAAATTTACAAGAAAAAAAACAACCCCATTAAAAAGTGGGCAAAGGACATGAACACACACTTCTCAAAAGAAGATATTCATGGGGCAAACAAACATGAAAAAAAGCTCAACATCACTGATCATTAGAGAAATGCAAATCAAAACCACCATAAGATACCATCTCACACCAGTCAGAATGGCAATTATTAAAAGGTCAAGAAATAACAGATGCTGTCGAGGTTGAGGAGAAACAGGAACACTTTTACACTGTTGCTGGGAGTGTAAATTAGTTCAACCATTGTGGAAGATGGTGTGGCAATTCCTCAAAGATCTACAACCAGAAATGCCATTTCACCCAGCAATCCCATTACTGAGTATATACCGAAAGAAATATAAATCATTCTGTTACGAGGATACATGCACTGATACGTTCATTGAAGCACTATTCATTGAAGCAAATAATGATTCCATGTCATTGAAGGAAAGACATGGAATCAACCCAAACGCCCATCAGTGATAGACTGGATAAAGAAAATGTGATACACATACACCATGAAATACTATGCAGCCATAAAAAGGAACAAGATCATGTCCTTTACAGGGACATGGATGGAGCTGGAAGCCATTATCTTCAGCAAACTAATGCAGGAACAGAAAACCAAACACCACATATTCTCACTTATAAGTGGGAGCTGAACAATGAGAACACATCAACACAGGGAGGGGAACAACACACACTGGGGCCTGTCGGTGGTGTGAGGAGGAAGAACATTAGGAAAAATAGCTAATACATGCTGAACTTAATATCCAAGTGATGGGCTGATAGGGATAGCAAACCACCATGGCACATGTTTATGTAACGAGCCTGCACATCCTGCATGTTACCCAATAACTTAAAATGAAAATAATTTTTTTTTAAAAAAAGGAAACCTACAAAACTTTTCAGAAAAAAAACAGACTATCTTTGGGATCTAGAACAAGGCAAATAATTTTTCATCTTAATACAAAAAGCATGATTCACAAAAGCAAATCTGATAAACCAAATTTTAAAACAGGCTCTGCAAACATCCTGTCAAGAGGATGAAAAGACAAAATACAGACTGGTAGAAAATACTTGCAAATAATATATATCCAACAAAGAAAGAGTATCTATCTATCTGTATATGTGTATTAAATATCAAAAAACCCAATGTTAATATATCAGACAATCCAATGAAAAAATGGTCAAAAGATATGAACAGAAATTTTACCTAAGAGGATGTACAGATGGCAAATAAACTCATAAAATATATTTAATACATCATTAGAAATTATAGAAATGCAAATTAAAACCACAATGAAATATTACTTCACACCTATCAGAATGGCTAAAACAAAAGATAATTATAACACCAATTGCTGGTGGAGACATGGAGTAACTGGACTATCCTTATATTGCTGGTGGGAATACAAAATGGTACAGCCATTCTGAAAAACAGTTTGGCAGTTTTTTATAAAACTAAATATTCAACTATCATATGATCAACCAACTGCATTTTAGGTATTTACCCCACAGAAATAAATACTTATGTCTATAGAAAAACAATCCACAAACGTCCATAGAAGCTTTACATGCAACAGCCAAAAACGCAAAGCAACCTAGATATCTTTCAATGCATAAGTCATTAAACAAACTGTGGTATATGCATACTATGCCATGCAACTCAGCAATAAGAAAGAGTGTGTGATAGATGCACAAAGCTTATAAAGGAATTTGGAAAAATGAAAAAAAGTCAATCCCCTAAGATTATGTACTATAGCACTGTATTTGTATAATACTTTTGAAACGACAATACAGAATGAGAGAAGATTGGTGGTTGCCAGTAATTCTGGATGGAGGTAGGAGGGAAAATGGGTTCAATTATAAAAGGTCAACACAAGGTATCCTTGTCTTGATGGGACTGCTCTGTATCTTGTCTATGGTTGTAGATACCTGAGCCTACCCATGGGATAAAAATGGCAGAATTACATACACACACACAAAAGTACACATAAACCTGGAAAAATATGAATAAGATCATATTTTACATATTGTAACAAAATCAATATCTTAGCTTACAAGATATTACAATTTGGGGAGGCTGGGTAATGAATACATGTGATCTGTCTGTACTATTTCTTGCAACCATATGTTAATCTACATTTATCTCAAAACAAAAAGTTTAACCTGAAAAAACAGACCTAAGGTTTAACTTGCCTTTTCAGGACCATTCTCAGTCTACTTTTCTAAACTACTGGACCTTAAATTATTGAAAACTTAGTAATTGCTGAACATATAATAACCTTTCCTTGTATGTAACTGAAAATGGTTTAAGAGCCAACAATTCGAGTATGACAATGAAGCAGAACAGTTCTAATGCTCAACCACTTCTGTTCTTGTGTATCACTTACAGCCTTAATTTTCTGTGTGAAAATGGTTACATTATTTCCTTAGCTTTGTTTGTTGGAGACGAAGAAGGAATGCTTGTTAAGTACGTCAAAACATAATCTTATCTTTTGAATTTTTGTTAATATATTATAGAAGACAGATTATTCATTTGCCTAGAAAGCTTGTATAACACATTTGGAAATTTCTGCTCTGTAACATCTTTAGAGCTGACAGTCTGTTTTTTACTTCATGCTGAAGTATCATCTGGTGGTTTTGTGAACTGGTCAGAAATTCACAGGTTTTAAGTGTCTTAAGAAAATTTATATTGAACATTGCTCTTTGTCTAACAAATAAAAGATGTTAATTTATTCCTGTTTTTAAAAAATAGGCCTAGAAAATATAGGAAACAATTTTTCTTTTCTTTTCTTCTTTTTTGCTGTCTAAGGCAGAGTCTCACTCTGTCACCTAGGCTGGAATACAGTGGCATGATCCGGCTCACTGCAGCTTCCGCCTCCCAGGTTCAAGTGATTCTCTGGCCTCAGCCTCCTGAGTAGCTGGGATTACAGGCATGCACCACCACGCCTGGCTAATTTTTTTGTATTTTTAGTAGAGACGGGGTTTTTCCATGTTGCCCAGGCTGGCGTCGAACTCCTGGCCATAAGTGATCCACCCACCTCGGCCTCCCAAAGTTCTGGGCAATTTTTATTTTCTAGATAGGAAACAATCTCTTAGAAAACAAAACAAAACAAAACAAAAGCAAAACAACTCAGAGAATTAAAATTGATAGCTCTCATTACAAAAAAAAAATTGAAACTTCTGTTAGTATAAACATCTTAAGTGAGAGAAGGTAGAAATTACTTAAAGCATGCATAAGAAAAGACTAGTATCCAGAATAGCAAAATATCTAAAAATTAGTAAGAAAAAGACAAACTATGCGAAAGGAAGATGACAGTGGAATTGAAAAGGCAATCTACTGAATAATAAAAATATGAAAAGATGTTCTAACTCACTAATAATTAAGCAGTGTATATTAAAGCAATGAGTCACCATTTTATACCTAGTGTCTTGCCATATTCAAAACCGATAACAATTCTTGATTTTATTTTTCTAATTTTCTAAAATTTTTAAAGGTTTTATATATATAGAAAATTATAAGTTGATTTTACTTCTTACAATCCAGGTAATGGTGAATATCTTGCTCAACACAGTAAAAAACATGAGTCAAAAAGAAAATACCACTTGTAGTTTATATAAAATTTTTAAGTTTGCAATTATCCTTTACTTAGAATATGAGATTAATAAGCTAAGAACAAAATACAGAATGCAATGCATTTGACATAAAATTAATATCTACATAGCTATATATCTCTCAGTAGCTATTCAGACACACAAACATACACACACACAGAGCTCACACAAATAACAAGATTTGAATAACCCACCAAAGTCCAAAAAATGCATATTAAAACTACAAAATACCATTAATTTATTATATTGGCAACACTTCAAAATACAGCATTAAAGGGGTTTTAGAAACTGAGGTTCTCATCTATTATAGCAAGGTTGCAAACTGCTATACAAAAGAATCAATCAAAATAGCACTATGAATTCCCTGCAGATTTTCCTTTACAGAATTCATCTTTCTGAAAGACTAACAACTTATCTTACAAAATACAGCAATGTTAGTATGGTGGGGGGTATGGTGTATCTGTGTGTATACACAGATCAGTGATGGATGGATGGACAGATATTTAAATGTTTCATACAGTACCATCTGAGGAAGGGAAAATGTGAAACAAACTAAATAATAATTAACTGAAGAACACTCAAATAAAATCTGAAACACCATGTAGCTATTACAAAGATTAAAGGAGCTATGTATAATAAAATAGAATCAATTGCATTTGTTTTAAGCATAAAAAGAGTAGGTCTCCAAAGTCAGTTTATTAATCTGGTCTTCATCCTGCTGGCATTCATATAACAGTGGTGTACATAGTAGGATATCATAAAGCATAAGAATACTAACTCTAGGACCAGAATTCCTAAATTGAAATCTGAGTTCTTCCCTCCCCTACTTAATAGCTATGGTCTTGAGAAAGTCACTTAACCACTCTGTTTCCTTACATTTACGAGACCAAAAATAGCAGTGCCTACATCACAGTTTGTTTTGAAATACATTTAATATAAATAAATCAGAACAATGCTTACACTAAGCAAGCATTATATAAATATGGATTTTGCTGTTGTTGTAATAATTACATGTAAAAACAAGCACTGCCTGGTACCTCATAAGTGCTCAGTAAATATTAGCTATCATTATCATTATTATAAACCAGCACTCATTTTAGGCACTTTTACATTTGTTAGCATATGTGAATATGTACTTATGAGTGATTCTGAAGTACATTTATTATAAGTTAGGTACCTGAAGTAACAAGATGGAGATAACTACTATGTAACAAAAATGAAACATGACTGATTAAAAGGTTTAAACAAATTATTTGCCTAACAAAGTTAATTATCTTACCAAAACATTATGTTTCTCTTTGGCTACATGGGAAAGTATTTTTTGATTAACCAAAATATCATCAAGAAACCACTAATAATTCTGCCAGTTGTTTGGCACCCTTGCTGTCAAAGTAATGGTGTGTAAGTTATCTTATTGACACTGTAACAAATTACCACAAACCTAATGTTCTAAACAACACAAATTTATTACCTTATGGCTCTGGAGATCAGAAATCCAAAATGAGTCTTACTAAGCAAAAATCAAGCTGTATTCATTCTGAAAGCTTTAGGGGGAATCCAATTCTTTGTCATTTCTAGCTGTAGTGGCTGCCTTCATTATTTGGCATGTGGCTTCTTCTTTGATTTTCAAAGAAAATCACTGCAAGTTCTCCTTTTGTCAGCGCATTTCCTTTTTCTGCCTTTGACCCTCTTGCCTTCCTCTTAGAAGGAACCCTGTGATTACACTGGACCCACCTAGATAATTCAGGATAATCTCCTCATCTCAAGAGCCTTAATTTAATCCATCTGCTAAATCCCTTTTGCCATGTAGGGCAACACACTTACATGTTCTGGATATGACTAGATATGGACATGTTTAGGAGCCATTATTCTGTCTGCCACACATGGGTCCCACCAGTGAGATGGAACCTACTAGCAACTTGAGTTCAGGCTGTTCTCCTGGCTACTCCATATTGACAGAGCAGGAGCAGTGTCATCTCGGACAAACACCGCCACTTTAAGTTCCAGCTCCCTTTCTAGCCTCATGCATTTCGAGGAAATCACCTCTCTTCTAATTACAAGCAGCCAGAAAGAGCAGACAGTAAAACACAGATAAGACAGCTGGGGCACAGAGGGAGATGGGGTAAAGTCTCTCAGGTAACTGCCAAACTTCACCTTTACACAATGGGCCCCAGTAAAACAGTAGGCCTTGGCTAGGTGTGGTGGCTCATGCCTGTAATCCCAGCACTTTGGGAGGCCAAGGTGGGCAGATCATGAGGTCAGGAAATCGAGACCATCCTGGCTAACACGGTGAAACCCCATCTCTACCAAAAATACAAAAAATTAGCCAGGCGTGGTGGCACGTGCCTGTAGTCCCAGCTAGTCGGGAAGCTGAGGCAGGAGAATTGCTTGAACCCAGGAGGTGGAGGTTGCAGTGAGCTGAGATCGCACCACTGCACACTCCAGCCTAGGTGACAGAGTGAGACTCCATCTCAAAAAAAAAAAAAAAAAAGTGAGCCTTAATAAGCACATCCCTTTCCTTTCAGTTGCACTAAGATAGAGAAGCTAAAAGCAGACTTGGGGGATATGCCTGCAGCTGCAAAAAGATGTATGAGAACAGACACACAACTCTCCCTCCCAGATAAGCACAACAAAGAGACACAGAAGCAGTCCAAGCCTCTGATAAATTCTCCCACCCTGAATCCTCAAAAACTCTTAGTCTGTAAGAGTGTGTGCCTCTGACCTAACTCGGCCAGAAGGCGTCTCTCAGGTTTCTTTTCTCTAAAATAAATCTGTCTTGACTGGCAAGCCACCTTTTCATGTTTCTTTCCTCTTTCTGTAATTCTTACACATATCAACTGAGCTCTGCCAATTGTAAGCCTCAAAAGGTCAATCCACCAGAAAAGGAATTTATAGTGGTGTTTCACGCTCCTGTTTTGGGGGATGGCAGTGTACCAGAAATCATCATACTCAAATTTAAAATACTTAGAATTTAATATAGTACAAGCCATAATATCATCATAATAATTTGAAAACATTTATACATCCCTGGCCCTAAAATTTATCTGTGTGTACATGTCAACATTCCCCTGAAGAAAAAAAGACTACGATCTGTTAACCATTCTGTGCCCTCACCACTAACCCTTTACAAAGTACTTACATAGGGAGGCAGTAATTCTTTTTTAATTAAATGAGACTAAAAATAACAAAGTCCCTTTAAGACAAGCCTACTTAAACATATTTAAATGTTTAAAATCATTAAGAAAGGTTAAAACACAACTAACTTTACTTCTTACCATATATAGCATATTTTAGTTGAAGACGTTTAACAATTTCTTCCACAGTAGGTTTATATTCGAGGAAACATGTATAAATTCCACTCATACTCTCCTCAAAATTTTGGAATACAAGGCTTCCTGTGGATGTTATTTGTGCAGTGCGGTTTTCTACTAAAGGAATAAGATACAGTTACGAGTTGCTTAAATTACATGAGACAAGTACCAAAACATTTTCTCAGCAAGGTAAAACCATCATAATTTACCAACACAGTCAATGAAAGGAGTGGGGGGCATAGCTAGGACATTACATCTGGTATCTGCTAACAGTGGATGCCAGGATAACCTTCTTACTGCCAGATGTTCACTAATCAGAGTTCATCAATTGCATTGCTGCCTAAGTAGAAAGAGACTAACAAGGATACATACAGAATATGCTCCTAATCTGCTCCTTGCATTGAACTGGGCACTATCAGAAATGCAGTATACATATATACAAATACATACACATACATATATACATATACTTTAACGTAATTATATTTATATTTAATGATAAATTATGCCCTCAGTAAGCTTACAAACTGCATATGAAACAGATAAATAATATACCCAGAATAAAGGCTATCAGAATATAATCACTAACAAGAGATTTCTTATCACTACACATGATGAAAAGCAAAATTTGGCTTATAAATTTGAGGTTTGCAGAAGAAAAAAAAATATTGGATATGAGATCACCTGACTTGCCCAACATCACATAATCACACAGTTGCAGTGCTGGGGGTTAGAATGGGATGTAAGCTCCCTTTTCATTTCAACATACTTCATTATTTAAGTGTCAAGCAGGGAGAAAGCTATGTTGTGAAATGGAAAGTAAATCTGCCTTTAGAGGCATTGACACTTGGGGTTTGAGACCTACCTTTCCCTCTCACAAACTGTAACCATGAGTAACCAATTAATCTTTCTGAGATCCAGTTCCCTCATTTGTACAATGAAAAATCATAATATATGATAGCCTATCTCACAGGATTTCTCTGTATAACAAATACAATGAATGCTAAAGTACTTGGAAAAGCTATAAATCTGTTATTCTGAAAGTTCATAACCACAGTTTTTAATTAGAAAAATTCTTAGGTATTAAAATTTGCTTAGTCTGATATTCCATTCATTAGAACTGAAAGTACTACATCAGGAAATAACTGTCTACCTTTTTCTATTTTAGGTAAATGATTTATTGCTTATAAATTTTAAGTTGATATATTTTTCCAAGACAAATGATGAGTGTTCATAGGGATGAAATTTTCATTATTTATTTGTTCAGTAAATATTTACTGAGTGTCTAGTACATGCAAGCCCTGCTTCAGGTATTGAAAGAGAAATGAACAGATGAATATACCCACCCTCAAATAATTTACATAGAGCATTATGCCTTGAGAACTTCCATTTCTATATCCTGGATGAAGCTGAAAAATGTGATATGAATTTAGAATACATGTCTATTGTAATGCCTATTTCTTCATGATTATGTTTTAATGAAATATTACATATTTATCCTAACATGCCAAGTCTTTTATAAACGAAGTTAACAGTTTGCAAGAGTTCACTATGTATTTCAGCAGAAACACCTCGTAGAGATGTAATAAAGGGTTCTCATGAAGTTTAAAGAAATTATAGAATATTACATCATCAATGAGATTACATATTCCTTGGCAATCATTTGAAATGAATGTTTCCCACACTAGAGAAAGCAATTAATAAGTGTATCAAAATATATACCTAAATGCCTACTACAACACAAAACATTATGACAGCCAGAAAATGTAGTAGTATACAATCTGTAATAAAATGCCCCCTGACTGCCTTCTTATTTAAAAAATGTTTAAGTAGATCTAAAAAGACAAGGGGGCTCAGAGCCAAGATAGCCAGCCAGCAAGAGCATCTCCCACCAAGAGATAAGACCATCAAGAAGACTAGCACACTCTGAGCAGATCTTCAGAAGGAAGGCATTGAGAGTAGTCGGAGGGAGGACACAGATCCTGGACTGAAGGAGCAAGAAGCTAGGGAACCGTCACAGGGTACACAAGCATCAGGACTTATTCCTTGCCCTGAGTGGCTTCTGGGGAAGGGATAAGTGAAGTAGACATGGAGCGGCCCACTCTCACTATGGAACTCTGGAATCCTAGCTACAGGAGAACCCATGGACATTTGGGCTGGCAAGGGAGAGATTCTTGGAGTGTTGGCGGGGACAAGACTCCACTGCATGGAACCCAGAGCATTTGCCATGGGACCTGCTGCAGTGGAGCATGGCCAGGGACACCATCCCCCAAGGCTTGTCAAAATCAGAGCTGAACTGAACAAAATGGTGACACAAAAAAACATACAAAAGATCAACAAAACTAAAGGCTGGTTTTCTGAAAGAACACATAAGGCTGGTAGACTGCTAGCTGGACTAATAGAGCAAAAAAAAGAGAGGATCCAAATAAACACCATCAGAAATGACAAAGGGGACATTACCACTGACCCTAGAGACATATAAAAAACCATCAGAGACTATTACAAATATGTCCATGCCCATTAACTAGAAAACCTAGAGAAATGGATACATTCCGAGAAACATACACCCTCTCCCATGATTGAACCAGGAAGAAATTGAAACCCTGAACAGACCAGAGTAAGTTCTGACACTGAAACCATAATCAAAAACCTACCAACAACAAAAAGCCCTGGACTAGACAGATTCACAGCCAAATTCTACCTGACATATAAAGAAGGGCTGGTACCAATCCTAGCTAAACTATCCCAAAAAATTGAGGAGGATCGACTCTTTCCTAGCTCATTCTATGAGGCCAGTATCATTCTGATATGAAAATCTGGTGGACACAAAATGAAAAAAGAAATTTTAGGACAATAACCCTGATGAACATAGATGTAAAAATCCTCAACAAAATACTAGCATAGCAAATCCAGAAGCACATCAAAAAGCTAATTCATCACAATCAAGTAGGGTTTATCCCTGGGATGCAAGGTTGGTTCAACATACGCAAATCAATAAATTTGATTCATCACAGAAACAAAACTAAAAACAGAAATCACACGATCATCTCAACAGATGCAGAAAAGCCATTCAATGAAATTCAACCTCCCTTTATGTTAAAAACCCTCAATAAACTGGGCATCAAAGGAACATACCTCAACATAATAATAGCCATGTGTGACAAACCCACAGCCAACATCATACTAAACAGGCAAAAGCTAGAGGCATTTCCCCTTGAGAACCAGAACAAGACAAGAATGCGCACCCTCACCGCTCCTATTAACATAGTTCTGGAAGTTCAAACCAGGGCATCAGGCAAGAGAAAGAAATAAAAGTCATCCAAACAGGAAAAGAGGACTTCAAATTATCTGCCTTCACAGACTATTTGATTCTATACCTAGAAAACCCCATCATGGCCTGGTGTGGTGGCTCACATCCATAATCCCAGCATGTTGGGAGGTCGAGGCAGGCAGATCATTTGAGGCCATGAGTTCAAGGCTAGCCTAGCCAACATAGTGAAACCTCATCTCTACTAAAAATACAAAAATTAGCCAGGCATAGTGGTGCATGCCTGTAATCCCAGCTAATAAAGGGTTGATTTTAATGATTTTAATGATTTCTCCTGGCTATTCCATATTGACAGAGCAGGAGCACCATCATCTTGAACAAACACTGCCACTTTAAGTTCCAGCTCTCTTTCTAGCCTGATGCATTTCAATGAAATCACTTCTCTTCTAATTACAAGCGGCCAGAAAGAGCTGACAGTAACACACAGATAAGACAGGAAGCTGAGGCATGAGAATCGCTCGAACCTGAGAGGCAGAGGTTGCAGTGAGCAGAGATCACACCACTGCACTCCAGCCTGGGCGACAGAGTGAGATTCCATCTCAAAAAAGCGAAGCAAACTAACAAACAAAAAAACACTGTTTCTGTTCAAAGGCTTCTAGATCTGATAAACAACTTCAGCAAACTTCCAAGATACAAAATCAATGTATAAAAATCAGTGGCATTTCTATTCACCAATAATATCCAAACTGAGAGCCAAATCAAGAACACAATCCCATTCACAATGGCCACAAAAAGAATAAAATACCTAGGAATACAGTTAACAAGGGAGGTGAACGATCTCTACTATGAGAATTACAAAGTACTGCTTAAAGAAATCACAGATGACACAAACAAATGGAAAAACATTCCATGCTCATGGGTAGAAAGAATCAATATTGTTAAAATAACCATACTACCCAAAACAACTTACAGATTCAATGCTTTTCCTATCAAATTACCAGTGAAATTTTTCATAGATTAGAAAAAACCTACTGTAAAACTCATATGGAACCAAACAAGAGCTGGAACAGCCAAAGTAATCCTAAGTAAAAAGAGCAAAGCCAGAGGTAACACACTACCTGACTTCAAACTACACTACAGGGCTATAGTAACTAAAAGAGCATAGCACTGGTATAAAAACAGACACATAGACTAATGGAACAGAATAGAGACCCCACAAATAAAGCCACACACCTACAATCATCTGATCTTCAACAAAAATGACAAAAACAAGCAATGGAGAAATAAGTCCCTATTCAATAAACGGTTCTGGAATAACTGCCTAGCCACGTGCACAAGATTGAAACTGGCGCCCTTCCTTCTACCATATATAAAAAATCAATGCAAGATGACTTAAAGACTCCTGGAGAAAGGGCAAAGCAAGATGGCTGAATAGAAGGCTCTACTGATCATTCTTCCTGCAAGGACACCAAGTTAACAACTATCCATTAAAAAAATACCTTCTCTTAATAACAAAAATCAGATGAGCACTCATAGTGCCTGGTTTTAACTTCATATTGTAGCTGGATTGATAAGGAATCAGAGAGACTGATGGGGTTCAGGAGGATATTTATTATTTAGGTGCACCAGCCCAGTCGGATTAATATCCAAAGTCCCAAACAAAGAGTCGTTACCTTTTAACATTTTGTGGGGTGGGGGGAGATCAATGCAGGGGGAAGCATACTACAGAAGAGAGAAACAAAGACAGTTATTCAATTAATTGAGACATGCATTACATCATTTTTTACTTTTCAAGAAATAACATGTTTTACGACTGAGTTTATCTGTCTGGTGACCTTGCAGCTGCACAGCTAGAGACACAGGGTCTTCACAATGCCTGGGAAGGGAGGAGAGATAAGGCTCACTAGCCACAGAAAAACAGGCAGTTAATTTTTGAAGGACTCCAGTTCTTTCTTTTTCTCAGGGGGAATTGGGTTTTCTTATATACAACTGAGTTTCTGCTTATACATTTTTTAATTTAATTCCTGTTCCATTCCCCCATTTGGTGCTTTTTATCACAAAGATGTTCATAGAAAGCACCACTATTTGCCATCTCTTTGCGGAGCTGAGCTTTTTCTTCTACTGGCAGCAGCTGATATTTGGTTAATGCCATCAACTGCACAGTAGTTTGTCAGAATATACAAACTCTATAGTTGACTGAATACTCCTAATAAACAGAGGTAAAAGGCAAGGGAGGATGAGGCAGATGCCAAGAATAAGCAAGAACCTACCAGTGAGGGTTTTGAATCCTTTAAAGCTTGAGAACCATTTTTTTTTTTAAACAAAGAATCCGGGGACCACCTGGACTAAGTCTGAACTGGAACATAGGCCAACTTTCACATTCTAGCTGTGATTTCCATGATAGCTCGGCCATTATCATCAATTTCTAGGCAACAGTTGGTTAAATTAAATTTTTCACATACTCTTCCTTCTTAGGCTAAGAGGTAATCTAAAGCTAATCTATTTTGATATACAGCATTTTTTATTTGTGTTGCTTGTATTGCCAATAAATCTAGTGCCCTTGATGTTTCATTGGTTATAATTTCAAGGACTGCCTGCAACCTTATGATGCAGTTGAACACATAGATTGGGGTGTGGTACCCCCATGACCCATCTTGCACCCACATAGCTGGCCTATAATATTTAATGATTTTTTCAGGAGGCCATTCATTATCTTTCCAGTCTCTTATGTATCGGGGGACCTGCCCCGATAATTACGTATGTTCTTTTCTATTTTTCCTAAGTGTCAGCCAGCTTGAGAAATAAAGGAACAGAGTACAAAAGAGAGAAATTTTAAAGCTGGGCATCCGGGGGAGACATCACACGTTGGTAGGATCCGTGATGCCCCACAAGCCACAAAAACCAGCAAGTTTTTATTAGGGATTTTCAAAAGGGGAGGGAGTGTGTGAATAGGTGTGGGTGACAGACATCAAGTACTTAACACAGTAATAGAATATCACAAGGCAAGTGGAGGCAGGGGGAGATCACAGGACCACAGGACCGAGGTGAAATCAAAATTGCTAATGAAGTTTCAGGCACCATTGTCATTGATAACATCTTATCAGGAAGCAGGGTTTTGAGATCAACCGGTCTGACCAAAATTTCTTAGGCAGGAATTTCCTCTTCCTAATAAGCCTGGGAGCACTATGGGAGACTGGAGTTTATTTCATCTCTGTAGCCTCGACCATAAGAGACAGCTACGCCCAGGGGGCCAGTTCAGAGACCTACCCGCAGGCACACATTCTCTTTCTCAGGGATGTTCCATGCTGAGAAAAAGAATTAGAATTCAGTGATATTTCTCCCATTTGCTTTTGAAAGAAGAGAAATATGGCTCTGTTCCGCCCAGCTCGCCAGCGGTCAGAGTTTAAGGTTATCTCTCTTATTCCCTGAACAATTGCTGTTATCCTGTTCTTTTTTCAAGGTGCCCACATTTCATATTGCTCAAACACACATGCTGTACAATTTGTGCAGTTAATGCAATTATTACAGGGTCCTGAGGTGACATACATCCTCCTCGGCTGACAGGATTAAGAGATTAAAGTAAAGACAGGCATAGGAAATCACAAGGGTATTGATTGGGAAAGTGATAAGTATCCATGAAATCTTTACAATTTTATGTTTAGAGATTGCAGTAAAGACAGGAATAAGAAATTATAAAAGTATTAATTTGGGGAACTAATAAATGTCCATAAAATCTTCACAATCCACGTTCTTCTGCCATGGCTTCAGCCGGTCCCTCCGTTTGTAGTCCCTGACTTCCCACAACACTTATGTCCACATTTCTTTGATATTTGTGTCTATTTTTGTGAGTATGCTCCTATTTTTTAATTTTTATCATAAACTGGATATCTTAAGAGTTCCTCTTGCTTTAGAGGAATTAGAAAGAGGAAGGCTTGATTGTTTTTAACACACATGCCCTCATCCATTTAGCCAGCAGTTGCCAATATGCCCATGTTCAACAGATCTAATACAGGCCAGAGGGTGCCTTCCAAGCATTTGGAGCCTCTAGTTGATCTCAAGAGTGGCTTAGAGTAGAGAATCAAGAGAAAGGGTTTGGATCTGGTAAGTAGGAGTCATTCTGGGCGTTTCTCCGTAGAGTTTTGTTATTAGTCTTATTATAATATTGTTGCCTTGGGCAGGTTGTTTTTCCTACTGCTTCTGTGAAAGCCTTTTCTTATCAGGCGATACAGTACTTTTCAATTATGGAGGTTTTTAACAACTAAACACTGGCTGAGGCTGTTGGTTCACTGACTGGGTTAGGTGAAGTGAAGTGATCTTGTGGCATTAATTTTTTTGCCTCCCATGGCCACTGGTCTCCCATTTTTGTTTCTCCACATACATAGTATGAGGAAATTCTTAAGCTGCCAGCTATGTTTTCAGCTAGTTGAGCAAATATCGTTTTGGTTGATGGGAGAAGCTCAGGCACTGACTGATTAAAATGCTTTTAGAATGACTTATGGACCTGGAATTGCAGGGTTGGATGCATTTGAGTCCTTCTAGTCTTTTTGACAATTAGTAGTGGAACTCCAAGGCCTGTTCCTTTTAACTTGTAACAGTGCTGTCTGTCCTGTAGACCAAAAAGGTAGCTCTGGCTTTAAGACAGTAAAATTTAAAGAACTGCATGTCCTTGTCTTACAATTTCATTTGGTTGACATACTACTTAGTAGAGCAGTCTTTCCTGAATATAAGTGTTGGAGCTGTGTTAGCGTATTCCACTGAATGTTACAGTCTGGGCATCCAATTTGTGGTTTTCTGTACAGATGTTTAGGGCTGCTGCTGCTTAAGCCTCTCTTGTGTTAAACCATTGCAGACTGCTTCTGATTGTTTTAGGATTATGAACATATGCAGCATGGCAGGCATCAAAGTACAAGGAAATAGGCCTTTTATAGGAGAGAGGGTCTTCTTTGGTTTGAGCTATAAGCTCTCTTTCTTTTTTTTTTTTCTCTGATTTAATATGTGTTTTAAACCAGAATTTATAGGTTAAGAGCTTAGGGTCATAACATACATATAGCTGATTATTTCCTGGGTCACAGACTGAATAGGTGGTCTGGTTGTATGTGCAGGTTCCTAACCTGGTTCCTGTATATTTATAGTAGGTATGGTAGAGTTGTAACTATGGTATTCCTTACCCAGGTAGTGTCTACACAGTGTGGGCATTTTTCTAGAGATTTCTTCCCTTTTAGTATAGGCAGAAATGGTAAAAACATTAGCGTAGGTAATAGAACTATGCTTACACTACACATAGGCATGGCAAACATTCCTCTGGGCATAGACATTTGCAGCATTTGCAGTAATAACATAACAACAGAACAATCAGTACTGATAGAATTATAACTAGGCTTATACATTGTATTCACATTTACTTATCCAGAGATGGTCCTCTTAGCTTCAGCTGTGCATAGACTAGTCAGCTTTCGGGATGTGATTAGAGCAGAGCTTGCAGGATCCTCAAGCTTCAGCCATGCATAGACTGACCAGCCTCCAGTGTGGTCAGAGCAGGGCAGTTGTCCTTACCAGTGGCTGGGTTTCACTGTAGGACTATTCGGGTCGGGCGATCTGGGTCTTGTTGGCTAATCCACTGGTCGTCGTCGGGAGTCACTACTGCCGCTGATTTTAGCCAGCTATGGTGAATCCAAGGTGTGACACCTGCAACTTTAACAGCAGTGGGAGTAGACATGATCACAATATGGGGCCTATCTTATATGGGTCCTAGAGTGGTTAGACCCTATTTTTTAACCTAAACAAAGTCCTCAGGTTTGAAAGGGTGTACTGGGTCTGTTAGACTTACACGCATTTTTTTTCATACCTAACCATGCATCTTTTGCATGGCCATACTTAAAGCCTGCATTTGCCTTTACGTTTGCCTTTCCCTTTTTTTTAGCCTTTAGTGTTCTTGCTTTTTGGTGCCCCTTGCAGCACATCACAACCACCTCTTTGGGGGCCCATACAGCATTTAAGAGCTGTAGAATTTCTTCCTTGTACTTTATTTTTTTACTTCCAGCAGTTAAAATCTTTTTTTTTCCTTCGTAAATAGCCTCATGAACATGCAAAGCAGCAGAAGCATATTTGGAATCTGTGTAAATATTTGTCCTTTGGTCTTTTGCTAGCCAAAGAGTTCTTGTCAGAGATATTAGCTCTGCTTTCTAAGCAGAAGTTTCTATAGGCAAAGACTGCACTACTGAGTCCAAAGTCACCACTGTATACCTAGCTCAGCAGACTCCCTTTAATATGAAACTGCTTCTATCAGTAAAATATTCAATGTCTGGGTCCTTGAGGAGCTGATCTGTCAAATCTCTTCGGCTTGAGAACATTTCATCTACCATGTCCACCCAGCAATGAAAAGGGCCTCCTGTCACTGACTCGATGAGGAGCAACATAGCCGGGTTTAGAGTATTCACAGTCTCTAAAGTCAGTTTATTAGCTTCCTGCACCAGTAGGGCAGTGGCAGCTAGTGTTTTAAAATAAGGAAGCCATCCAAGTGCCACAGAATCTAATTGCCTGGATAAGTATGTCACTGGGTGATGCCATGACTTTATGACTTGAGTTAGAGTTAGAACTGGTGTGGTCAGAGCAGGGCAGTTGTCCTTCTAAGGACTTCTAATTTAGTAGTTGTCCTTCTAAGTTCTAACTTAGAGTTAGAACCTCTATGGCCTCCCTTTCACTTGTGGACATACAAGAAGAAAAGCTTAGTTAGTTAGATCTGGTAGTCCTAAAGCTGGAGCCTGAGTCAAGGCTTCTTTGATTTTTTTTTAAAGCCTTCTCCTGGTTGGCCTCTTAGAGGAGAGACTCCTTTTTTTCTCCTCTTTGTGGCTTTGTATAATGGCTTAGCCATGAACAAGACATTTGGCATCTAAATGTGGCAGAACCTTGCTGCCCTTAGGGACTCTCTTATTGGACGCCAGGTGGTTGGAGTAGGAAGTGCACAAACAGCCTGCTTTTGTTCACTCCAAGGCATCGTTCTTCTTGGCTTATATGAAAGCCCAACTACTGGACACTTTTAAAGCACATCTGAGCTTTCTCCTGACACTTTATAGCCTGTCTTTCACAGCAGGTGCAGGGGGTCTTGGGTTTTTCTGGGTGCAGTAGCCCTTGGCCAGTGTTTTTTTTTTTTTTCATACTATGGCCCTGACATTTATCCTTCTAGTGTGCTTTTCTTTTACATCAAGCACATTAATCTTTCTCTAGCCTCAGCCGGCTTTCAAACTCCTGTCCAGACTAGCTTTTTCCACGACTGCGTTCACACCTGCGTTCATGCCTCCTTGCAAAGCCAGCTTCTCTTTCCGTAAGGGTTGCTGCTAGTAAATTAGCCTTTTTAAAGCCTCCGATCAGCCTTCTGATCTCGGTTAATTTACATCTTGGTAGCCACTTTAATAAGCTGAGTAGCATTCACACCTATGGAGCTTCTAACTTCTGCAATTTATGCCTGGTATCTCCTTGGTCCTGCCTTACAAACACCATATTCACAATGTGCTGATTTTCAGCAGCCTCAGAGTTAAACGGAGTATACAACCGAAATGCCTCACAGTCTTTTATAAAATTGGCTGGTGCTTTTATCTGCACCCTGGAGCACCTCTGAGATTTTTATATTGGTTGCCTTTCTTTTACCATCCTTTAGCCTTTGCAGAACTGCTTCTCAGCACCTTTGTAGGTGCTAAAGCTCGACTGCATCATCTGGCTCTTAGCAGGGGTCCTCTTGTCCTCTTAAGAGGCATAAGCATAACTTGGGCACGGCCAGATCTGAGACGGCCTGCCTGACTTTTTGAGCCTTTCACTTTAATTTCCCTGAGCCCTGATTTCTCCTTCTCATGTGAGATTGACAGCCTGTATTCCTTTTAACTTAACTCCTTAGAGGCAGTTAGCCTGGTAAATGGGTAGATTGGAATGTAGGGAGGAGGGGTCTCTATTCCCTACTGTGGTTCTTGCAAAACTGGTTTTTCTGCCTTTCCAGAGACTTTTTTTTTGTCTCAGCTTCTGGGGCAGCTGATTTTTACTTTCACTATTGGCTTGGCGGTGCTACAAGCCTCTGTGACTTTCCCTTTAACTCTGTAGCTGCCAGCACAGCTAGTTTCTCTTGGCGTGAGCTGCAAGCATTTTACAATAAACTGCTAGGCAGGGCTGCATTCATTTAGTCATGAGTCAATACAAAGACTAGGTCTGAATGCCTTGGATGTCCTCCAACCCTAGTCACCACCTTAAAACACACGACCAATTTCTCTATAGTGCCTTCGGCCAGCCATCTAACACAAAGAGGGCTACTCTAATTCACAGTATGTCCTCAACTTTTGAACATCCAGTTTTATCCCATAATCACCACTAAATCTTTTTTTTTAAATTCTTTATCATGCACTCCAAAAGGGTTGGTTTTGATGCTTTCCCTCCTATTTCCTCCCTTGCAACGCACTTTCACTCTCACTTTCACTCTCAGATCCACCAGACGGGGTCCTATTACAGGAGTTTCAGACACTGCTCAGCCAGGAACGTGCCTTCCCCTGTCATAGCCTGCTGCGGCTACGAAGCTGGTCCTATCAGCCTTATGCAACGTCCTCAGTCTGATTTCCCCAACACTCGCCTTGGAGCACACAGACCATGCTAGGGATCTATGCCTCCCCACGTCACTCCCTGCATTGGCCTCTCCCAAGACCATCTCTTTCATGCCATTTCACACATCTCCCTTGCCCCAGGACTCCTAATTGGACAAAACAAGCCTCTCTCATGTCCCAGGTGAGCCTAGTTAGGCTCCCACATTCACACACATACACACAACACTCCTACCCCAGGACTCCTCATCAGACTAAACGAGTGTCTCTCATCCTGGGTAGGTTCACACACACCCACCCACTCCCAGTTCCTGTCTCCAGATCCAGTGAACCACTTTCACTTTGTTAGTGGGGACACAAGGTTCATCCAAATTGGCAGGCCACTTCTGCCGCCCCCAGCCACTCTGGGTTGGATTAGTGGTTGGTACCCTGGAGGTGATCAAACTCCCCTTCATCCCTATGGGAAGGGCTTTCCTGTCTTGGGCCCTTACTCCTTACTTCAGTTCCTGAAGTGCTGGTATTGTCCTACAGCCCCGTACCTGGTTCTGCTGCACTGCCAGGCAGGGTGCCGGGACGCAGGAGAGCCAGTTTTCATCCGGGTGAAGCTCTCCCGTGGTGCGCCTTGGATGCTGGGTCTCACCCAGCCCTGGGGCTCTAGTCCCACAGGCAAAGGAGACAGTAAATCTGTCATCTTCAACCCCGGACAAGCCCCCAGAAATGTAGTGGAATTGATAAGGAATCAGAGAGACTGATGGGGTTCAGGAGGATATTTATTATTTAGGTGCACCAGCCCAGTTGGATTAACATCCAAAGGACTGAGCCCTGAACAAAGAGTCAAGTTACCTTTTAAGCATTTTGTGGGGTGGGGGAGATCTGTGCAGGGGGAAGCATATTACAGAAGTGATAAACAAAGACAGCTATTCAATTAATTGAGACATGTATTATATTGTTTTTTACTTTTCAAGGAAAAACATGTTTTACGACTTGAGTTTATCTGTCTAGTGACCTTGAAGCTGCACAGCTAGAAAAACAGGGTCTTCACAATGCCTGGGAAAGGGGGAGAGATAAGGCTCACTAGCCACAGAAAAACAGGCAGTTAATTCTAAAGGACTCCAGCTCTTTCTTTTTCTCAGGGGGAACTGGGTTTTCTTACACACAACTAAGTTTCTGATTACAAATTTTTTAATTTCTTTTAATTCCTGTTCCAATATCACTAAAGTAGGCACTGAAAAGACTTTTTAAAAATCCAAAATCACCAATGCCACCCCTACCCCACCACCAACCCCATGCCCCACAGTGGTGGCCTGGTGCAAATAGTGTCTCTGGATACTGGGGGAGGGAGAACACAGCAATTGTGAGGTATTGAGCTCAGAGCTGTCCTGTTAGAGCAGAAAGGAAAAGCAGACCAAATTCAGCTGATACCTGCCCATGGAGTGAGCATTTAAACCAGCCCAAACCAGAAGAGAATCATCGATCCCAGCAATATGAACTTGAGTGCCTGCAAACCTTGCCACCAAGGTCTACAGCACTCTGTTTACTCTCCAAGTAAACTTGAAAGGCAATCTAGGCCATAGGGCTACAAAACATAGGTGAGTCCTAGTGCTGAACTAGGCCCAAAGACAGTGAACTGAGGGGGCACACACCTGGTGAACTGAGACACCAGCTGGGGAAGCCAAGGGAGGGCTGGCATCACCCCTCCTCTAACCATAGGCTCCACAGTTTGCAGCTCCAAAAGGCACCCCTTCTTTCCACCTGAGGAGAGGAAAGGAAAGAGTGGGGAGGACGCTGTCTTGCATCTAAGATACCAGCCCAAGCACAGTAGGATAGAGCACTGGTCAGAGTTGTGATGTCCCCATTCCAGGCCCTAGTTCCAAGAGGGCATTTCTAGACATACCCTGGGCCAGAAGGGAACCTGCTGCCTTAAAAAAAAAGACCCAGTCCTGGCAGCATTCATCATCTGCTAACTGAAGAGCCCTTGGGCCCTGAATAACCAGCAGCGATACCCAGGTACAACATCAAGGGCCTTGGGTGGGCCTCTGAGACTTGCTCACTTCAGGTGAGACTCAGCACATGACCAGCTGTGGTGGCTATGGGGAAAAACTCCTTCTGCTTGAGAAATGCAGAAGGAAAACTAAAGGGCACTTTGTCTTATACCTTAACTACCAGCATGGACACAGACGGGGAGAGCAACAAGTGGACTCTCAGGATCTCCAGTGAACAGGGCTTGATGTTTGGATGGCATTTCTGAACTTGCCCTGGGGCCAGACAACAGTCCACTGCCCTGAAGGGTAAGTCCCAGGCCAGGAAGCATGGGCCTTAAGGGAACATTGGTGGTAGTTGGCAATAATCCCACTGGCCTGGGGGTGGTGGTGGCTATCAGGTGAGGCTCCTCTCCCTTTGGAAAGAGTAGCAGGGTAGAATGGGAAGGAGTGTGTCTTTTGCTTTGAGTGCCAGCTCAGCTGCAATATAATAGAACACCAGGCAGACTTCTAAGGTTTTTTACTCTAGTCCCTGAATCCCAGACAGCACTTCTGAACCCACCAAGGGATTGGGGGACCTTGCAGCACTGAAGGGAAGGACAAAGGCCTGGCTGGCTTTACTTCCTGCTGATTGGAGAGCCCCAGGGCCTTGAGCAAACACAGGCTGGAGCCATGGAGTGGTTACAGCAGGCCTGGCTTCAGGTCTGACCCAGTGTAGTCACAGTAGTGGTAGCCACAGGGATGCTATTGTCACTCAACCTCCAACTTTAGGTGACTCAAAACAGAGACAGAGACTCTGTATGTTTTGGGAGAAAGTAAGGGAAGAAAACAAGAATCCCTGCCTGGTAATCCAGAAAATTTTCCTGGATCTGGTACAAGACCATCAAGGTAATACCTCTGTGAATCTGCAAGAACCAAAGCATTACTGAGCTTGAGGTGTCTCCTAAAACAGACACAATTTACATCATAACATCCAAGTCCTTTCAAATATCTGAAAAGCCTTTCCAAGAAGAATGGAGCCTCCTAAAACAGATACAACTTAGATCACAACACCCAAGGGCTTTCAAATATCGGAAAAGCCTTTCCAAGAAGAATGGCTACAAATAAGCGCAGACAGTGAAGACTACAATGAATACTTAGCTCTTCAATGGCCAGACACCAAAGAACATCTACTAGTATCAACACTATTCAGGAAAACATGACCTCAACAAATAAACTAAATACCAGGGACCAATCCTGGAAAAACAGAGATATGTGACCTTTTAGAAAGGCAATTTAAAATAGCTATGTTGAAGAAACTCAAAGAAATTCAAGATAGTACAGAGAAGCAATTCATAATTAGATATATTTAACAAAGAAATTGAAATAAAAAGAATCAAGCAGAAATCCTGGAGCTGAAAATGCAATGGCATGCTGAAGAATGCATCAGAGTCCTTTAACAGCAGAATGAATCAAGCAGAAGAAAGAATTAGTGAGCTTGAAAACACACTACTTAAAAATACATGAAGGAGACAAAAGAAAAAGGAGTAAAAAACAGTGAAGCATTCCAGAAGATCTAGAAAATAGCCTCAAAACAGCAAATCTAACAGTTAATTGGCCTTAATGAGGAGACAGAGGAAAAGATAAGGGTAGAAAGTTTATTCAAAAGGATAATAACAGAGAATTTCCCAAACCTAGACAAAGTCATAATATCCAAGTACAAGAAGGTTACAGAACACCAAGCAGATTTAACCCAATGTAGACTACTTCAAGGCATTTAATAATCAAACTCCCTAAGGTAAAGGTTAAAGAATGGATCCAAAAAGCAGAAAGAAAAAACAAATAACATACAATGGAGTTCCAATACATCTGGCAGCAGACTTTTCAGTGGAAACCTTACAGGCCAGGAGAGAGTGGCATGACATATTTAAAGTGCTGAAGGAAAAATAAAATTTATCCTAGAATAGTATATCTGGCAAAAATATCCTTCAAACATGAAGGAGAAATAGACTTTCCCAGACACACAAAAGCTGAGGGATTTCACCAATACCTCAACTTTCATACAAGAAATGCTAAAGGGAGTACTTCAGTTAGAAAGAAAAGAAAATTAATGAGTAATAAATAATCACCTGAAGGTACAAAACTCGCAGGTAATAGTACACAGAAAAACACAGAATATTACAACACTGTAACTGTGATGTGTAAACTAGTCTTTGATGAACGAATCAAAAATAGTAACTACAGCAACGTTTCAAGACATAGTCAATACAATAAGATATAAATAGAAAAAACAGAAGTTAAAAAGCAGGGGGATTAAATTAAGGCATAGAGTTTTTATTAGTTTTCTTTTTGTTTGTTTATGCAAACAATGTTAAGTTTTTATCAGGTAAAAATATTGGATTATAAGATAGCAATTGCAAGCCTCATGGTAACCTAAAACCGAAAAGCATACAATGGATACACAAAAAATAAAAAGCAAGAAGCTAAATCATATCATCAGAGAAAATCGCCTTCACTACTGGAAGACAGAAAGGAGAGAAAGAAGGAAGAGAAAACCAGAAAACAAATAATAAAATGGCAGGAGGAAGTCCTTACTTATAAATAATAACATTAAGTGTAAATTGACTAAATTCTCTAATAAAAAATAGACAGAGTAGATGAAAAAACAAGACCCTCTGATCTACTGCCTATAAGAAACACACTTCACCTATAAAGATACACATAGGCTGAAAATAAAGGGATATAAAAAGATACTTCATGCCAATGGAGAGCAAAAAAGAGTGGCAATTGCTATACTTACATCAGACAAAATAGGTTGCAAGACAAAAACTATCAGAGAAAAAAAATGGTCACTATATAATAATAAAGGGGTCAATTCAGCAAGAGAATATGACAATTATAAATACGTATACACCCAACATGGGAGCACTCAGATATATAAAGAAAATATTATTAGAGCTAAAGAGAGAGAGAGGCCTCAATACAATAATAGTGGGAGACTTCAACACCCCACTTTCAGCATTAGACAGATCCTCCAGACAGAAAGATCAACAAGGAAACATCAGACTTAATCTATACTACAGACCAAATGCATCTAGTAGACATTTATAGACCATTTCATCTAAGAGCTGCAGAATACACATTATTTTCCTCAGTACAGAGATCATTCTCAAGGATAGACCATATATTAGGTCACAAAACAAGCCTTAAAACACTTTTTAAAAACTGAAATAATATTAAGCATCTTCTCTGACCACAATGGAATAAAACTAGAAATAAATAATAAGAGAAATTTTAGAAACTACACAAATACATAGAAATTAAACAATATGCTCCTGAATGACCAGTGGGTTGTTAAAGAAATTAAGGATGAAATTGAAAATTTTCATGAAATAAATGTTAATGGAAACACAACATACCAAAACCTATGGGATACAGCAAAATCAGTACTAAGAGAGAAATTTATAGCTATTTAAGTGCCTACATTGAAAAAAGGGGAAAAACTTCAAATAATCTAACATTGCATCTTGCAGAACTAGAAAAGCAAGAGCAAACCAAACCCAAAATTAGTAGAAGAAATAATAAAGATCAGAGGAGAAATAAATGAATTTGAAATGATAAAAAATACAAAAGATCAATAAAACAAAAAGTTGGTTTTTTGAAGAGTTAAACAAAATTGACAAACCTTTAGCCAGACTAAGAAAGAGAGAAGATCCAAATAAAGTCAGAAATGAAAAAGGAGACATTATGACTGATACTGCAGAAATTCAAAGGATCATTAGTGATTACTATGAGCAACTATATGCCAATACATTGGAAAATCCAGAAGAAATGGACAAATTCCTAGATACATACAACCTACCAAGATTGAATCAGGAAGACATTCAAAAGCTGAACAGACCAATAACAAGTAACAAGATAGAAGCCTTAATAAAAACTCTCCAAGTAAAGAAAAGCCCAGGACTCAATGGCTTTGCTGCTGAATTAAACGAAACATTTGAAGAAGAAATAATACCAATCCTACTCAAACAATTCTGAAAAATAGAAGAAGAGGGAATATTTCCAAACTTATTTTACAAGGCCAGTATTACCATTATACCAAAACCAGACAAAAACACATCATAAAAAGAAAACTACAAGTCAATATCTCTGATGAATATTGATGCAAAAATCCTCAACAAAATACTAGCAAACTGAATTCAACAAAAGGTTAGAAAGATCATTTATCATTACCAAGTGGGACTTATTCCTGTGATGCGAGGATGGTTCCAATATACCAAATCAATCAGCGTGATATATCATGTTAACAGAATGAAGGATAAAAACATGAACGATCATGTTTTGATTAAACTTCAAAATTGATGCTGAAAAAGCATTTGATAAAATTCAACATCCCTTCATGATAAGAACCCAAAAAAAACTGAGTATAGAAGGAACACACCTCAAAATAATAAAAGACTTATACAACAGACCACAGCCAGTATCATACTGAATGGAGAAAAACTGAAAGCCTTTCCTCTAAGATCTGGAACACAACAAGGATACCCACTCACCGCTGTTACTCAACATAGTGCTGGAAGTCCTGGCTAGAGCAATCAGACAAGATAGATACAAAGGCATCCAAATTGGAAAGAAAGAAGTTAAATTATCCTTGTTTGCTGGTGATATGATCTTATATTTGGAAAAACCTAAAGACTTCAAGAAAAAACTATTATAACCAATAAGCAAGTAAAATTTCAGGATCAACATACAAAAATCAGTAGCATTTCTATATACCAACAGTGAAAAATGTAAAAAGAAATAAAAAAGTAATCCCATTTACAACAGCCACACATAAAATTAAACATCTAGGAATTAACCAAAAAAGTGAAAGATCTCTATAATGAAAACTATAAAACACCTGATGAAGGAAACTGAAGAGGACATCCAAAGATGAAAAAAAAAATTCTGTGTCATGAATTGAAAGAATCAATATTATTAGAATGTCCAAACTATACAAAGCAATCTGGAGATTCAATGCAATCCCTATCAAAATGCCAACAACATTCTTCACAGAAATAGAAAAAACAACCCTAAAAATTATATGGAACCACAGAAGACCCAGGAATAGCCAAAGCTATCCTGAGCAAAAAGAGCAAAACTGGAGGAATCACATTATCTGACTTCAAATTATACTATAGAGCTATACTAACCAAAACAACATGGTACTAGCATAAAAACAGACACATAGACCAATGAAATAGAATGGAGAACCCAGAAACAAATCCACACATCTACGGTGAATTCATTTTTGACAACAGTGCCAAGGACATACTCTGGAGAAGAGACAGTCTCTTCAATAAGTGGTTCTGGGAAAACTGGATATCCATATGCAGAAGAATGAAACCAGATCCCTATCTCTTGCCATATACAAAGATCAAATCAAAATAGATTAAAGAGTTAAATCTAATACCTCAAACTCTGAAACTATTATAAACATTGGGGAAAATCTCCAGGACACTGGTCTGGGAAAAGACTTCTTGAGCAATAACCCACAAGCACAGGCAACCAAAGAAAATACAGACAAATGGGATTGCATCAAGTTAAAAAGGTTTTGCATAGCAAAGGATACAATCAATGAAGTGAAGAGACAATCCACAAAATGGGAGAAAATATATGCAAACTACCCCCTTTGACAAGGATTAATATCCAGAATATACAAGCAGTTCAAACAACTATAGGAAAAAAAACTAATAATCTGACAAAGAAAATTGGCAAAAGATGTGAATAGACATTTCTCAAGAAGACATTCAAATGGCAAACAGGCCTATGAAATGGTGCTCAACATCACTAATCGTCAAAGAAATGCAAATCAAAACTACAAGAGGTATCATCTCACCAGTTAAAATGGCTTATATCCAAAACACAGGAAATAACAAGTGCTGGTGAGGATGTGGACAAAGGGGAACCCTTGTACACTGTTGATGGGAATGTAAACTAGTACAACCATTATGGTGAACAGTTTGGAGGCTTCTCAAAAAACTAAAAACAGAGCTAACATATGATCCAGCAATCTCCCTTCTTGGTACATACCCACAAGAAAGGAAATCAATATATTGAAGAGGTATCTGCATTCCTGTGTGTTGCAGCACTGCTTACAATAGCTAAGATTTAGAAGCAAACTACATGTCCATCAGCAGATGAATGGATAAAGAAAATGTGGTACATATACACAATGGAGTACTGTTCAGCCATAAAAAGGAATGAGATCCAGACATTTGCAACAACATGGCTGGAACTGGAGATCATTATGTTAAGCGAAATAAGCAGTCATAAGAAGACAAACATTGCATGTTCTCACTTGTCTGTAGGATCTAAAAATCAAATCAATTGAACTCATGGACATAGACAGTAGAAGGATGGTTACCAGAGGCTGGGAAGTGTAGTGGGGAGTTTTAGGGGGAAGTGGGGATGATTAATGGGTACCAAAAAATAGAAAAAATGAATAAGACCTACTATTTGATAGCACAACAGGATGACTATAGTCAATAATAACTTAATTGCATATATTAAAATAACTTAAAGAATGTAATTGGAATATTTATAACCTAAGGAATAAATGCTTTAGGGGATGGATACCCCATTCTCCATGATGTGCTTATTTCACATTAACTGCCTGTATCAAAACATCTTATCCACCCCATACATATATACACCTACTATGTACCTAAAATTAAAAAAAAATAATATTCTTAAGAAAAATTTTTAAAAGACTTAAGTGTAAGACCTAAAACAATAAAAATACTAAAAGAAAATCTAGGAAACACCACTCTGAACATAGGCACTGGCAAAGCTTTCATGAACAAGACTCCAAAAGCAATTGCAAGACAAACAAAAACAGACAAGTGGAAACTAATTAAACTAAGGAGCTCTGCATAGTAAAAGAAACTATCAACAAAGTAAACAAACAACCTACAGAATGGGAGAAAATGTTTGCAAACTATGCCTCCCATGAAGTCTAATAACCAGAATCTATAAGGAACTTAACAAAACAAACAAAAATCAAGCAACTCCACTAAAAAATGGGCAAAAGACATGAATAGACACTTCTCAAAAGAAGTGAAACATGTGGACAACAAGCATACGAAAAGATACTCAACATAACTAGTAAGAGAGAACAAAAAAAAAGAGAGAGAAGACACAACCAACATCAGGAGTGAATGAGGACACATCCCTATAGATTCTGAAAACCAGAAATCTGTTATCTATAAAGAGATAACACAAAATATTACAAACTACTTTATGCATATAAATACAACACATTTAAAAATCCAATGTTGGACAAATTCCTTGAAAGATACAATCTACCAAAATTCATAAAATGGTGTGTTCCTACCTCATTGAGATTATATCTATGAACTCTGATAAAAGACTTCAGACATAATGACTTTAGGAAAGTACCTTATTCTCTTAATGCTTTTGTTTTCCCATTTATAAAATGGAGAAAGTGGCTGTAATTACTGCAAAAGGTCATTGTTAAAATTAATATGTGTAAATTGTTAGAATAATATCTGACACATAGTAATCTTATGTATTTATTATTTTTATAAAATTCACTGTGCTAAGTAAAATAAGGCAGAAACTGAAATATGTGGAATCTAAAAAAGTCACACTAATACTCATACAAAAGTCACATTCACACTCCACCCTACCACAAATATAGGGTAGAATGGTGGTTACCAGGGACTGGGGGGTTGGAGACATGTGGTTCTTGGTCCAAGAGTATAAAATTTCAGTTATAAGATGAATAAGTTCAGGAGACCTAATGTATAGAATGGTAAATACAGTTAACAATAATGTATTGTATACTTGAAATTTTATGAGAGTAAATCTCAAATGTTCTCACCACACACACACAAAATGGCAACTATGTAAGGTAAATGATATGTTAATAGCTTGATGTAGGAAAGCTGAACACATGTGTGAGTACTTATACATGTTTGTGTGAATATTTAGAAAAGCAGGAAAAGTCCCCACACCAAAAAGAGTTAATTCATCAGAACAGTATTAGGGTCAGAGTGGGAGGTACAGAACTTGTTGCAATAAATGCAATTACCTTTGTAAATAAACAATACTAAATTTTCAAGAAACAGAGAAAAAGAGAGACACCAAATATAAGACTTGCTCCCTATGTTTCATAACACATCTAAACAACTTGAGTATTTTCTCCAAAGGAATGTACAAGTAATCACATAATTACATGATTTATTTGGCTCAAATCAAGGGAAACTATCTTTGAGATATCCATAAAATGATAAGTACAGTGCAGTTTAAACTACAGTCCAAAAAGCTTCTCTGTTCTTCAAACTTTAAGACATTAGACCTCTTCCAGTCCTTTCTGAAATAAAAAGTATAGTGTTCTTAATAAGTTTTACAACTGGTAGAGAGTGACCTATGATAAAATACTGTATTGAAAACCATAATATAATCATAAAGTTAAAATACCAGAATTCCCTGAGAACAGTTTTTATAAAGATAAAAACCAATGTAGTAACAGGATTATATCTTTACCTGGAAATAACTACATTTATCAATACCTACTTTTCTATTATAAGAGTGAGTAAAATAAATATTGCTCCTACTTAAAGGATAAATTGAATTTCATACTATATTTTGCAATATAAACTGCAAGACCTGGCGTTGCACCTCGGAGAAGAAAAAATTTCAAATTTCAATTTCCAAATCAAACGAGCAAAAAATGACAATAAAAAATTCAATGCTTAAATGTTTCTATATTTCAACTTGCAGAGTTTCAATATAAAATGTAAAACATATTTAAAACACATGTTTCTATTACATTATGTGCTACTATTAGAGAGTGATAAAAATAAAATTTGATTGTATTTCCACTACTGGGTGCTTTTACGCCTGGATCACTTCTCTGATTATATAAGCTGCAAAACTTATTAGAATTTCTGTTGTTGAGCCCTGCTGATCCCATGAACAAATTGCACAATCGTTCCTACTTTGCTAGTGTAGTGAGGCAGAGGTTATGTCTGATCTTTCTATCCCCCATAAAACCTAGCACAGCGGCTTCCACCAAGTAGTCATTCACTAAATGAATGATGAATAATTTGTCCTAAGAAAAACACAGACTGACCCAAAGAGGAGATTAATTCTTTAAAATTACCTATTTTTGTATCAACATAAATACCACAGAAACATACAGCTGAGATCTCTTAGCTATATAAATATGAATTAAAACATATTAAAAATTAGTATTTCCTATGTTTCTTTAGCAAGTCTTTGTATAAATATATTGCTCTCCTTCATCCAAGAAAATAAAATAAGCCTGTAAGTTTCTATCCACAGGCACGATCTCAAAATAGCAATAAGATTTTTAAAAAGAAAGGAAAGAAAACATGGTAAATAGAGCAATAAAGGAAAACTTTCTCTGAGGGTATGCAAAAATGACTGAACAGATCTTCAAAATGAAAATTCATTAATCTATATTTTTTGCAAGGCAAGAAACAAAGCCAGCTAAGTTAACTGTAGTTTTTTAAAACTACAGTGTTAAAAATCAGCTTTTATCCAATCAAAAAATTAGAATAAAAGTAAAAAGTAAAATCTGTATTTCAGGATTAAAAAACAAGAAGTTGACTAGAGGAAATACTGATCAAATCAGTCATACAAACAGTATTTTTTAAGTGAGAAAAAGTAACTTTGGGGGATTATAGATGCTTTGAGAACCCCCCAAACAGTTCATTCTTAGAGTATGTCCCTGTATCAAAATAAAATATGTAAAAATGGGAACACTATCTACATTGTTAGCTCTAACTCCAAAAGGAAATCACAAGAAAAAGAATTGAGGAAATAACATAAATATGTATGAGATACAAACATTCTTTTTGTGTTGCACACAATTCAGATACATTTATTTAATTACAATAATTGAAACAAAATCCTACCTGAAACAACTTTTCCTTTAGGCCCATACCATTGGAATGATGGGTCTATCAGTTCAGCATTTCGCAGTTGTTGCGTTACACATAACACGTGTGGACTCTTTTGATGGAGCATGACATACGCTTTCACTGAAAATACAATATTTAAAATGTTCCAATAGTATTTTATCTTCTTTTCTTTCTCTATAATGTACACTTTTGTAGTTTGGGTTACATGCAATAATAAGAGTACTTTGAATTATTGCTCCTATTACTTGATAAAAACTAAATTTCATTGCATTCTATGCAATTAACATTAAAAATATATTATGTATTTGTATGTATATATGTGTATGCATGTATGTGTGTGTACATGTATCCCCAACCTTAGCATAATGTGTTAGTACTTTTCATTCAGAGCTCATATACACTAACCTGTTTTATTCTCAGAATATTATTTCAATAACAAAGTATTAAGATAATACTATATCTACACTTTATCTGTTTTGTAAAGACACCAAACATGATTAGAGCTTAAAAATTGTTTAGATTAGCAGAATAATGCATTATTCACAATGATGTAGCATGATGTACTGAATAAAAATGATAAAGTGATTAAAAAGTTAGCAAATTTATGCTTTTATTGATTTTAAATATTAAAGCATTTTGTTCCATTTGCTTTGAAATTTAAATCCTGATAAGTAAGCAAAAATAGTATCCTTTAGGAGATACAAAAGGAACCCGGTAAAGATTCCATTATTTTAAGTTTACTCATAAGTAAACTTTTAGGAAAGGTTGCAACAACCCTTTAGACTCTGCATGCCAACTCTTCACTGATACACTGTATACAAAGATTTCTGTGATCGAGTAAAATAAAGAGAATCAAAATTCTCTTTGACTTTTAAGAGACTTCCTCTAAAGTTTTACCATAAAGCATGATGTTTATTGAATGTACTTTTAGGTACATACCCTTCCACAGGTTAAGAAAGATCCCCTCTGTTCTTGGTTATTTGTTTTTATCATAAACATAAATCAGCACTGAATTTTAAGAAATGTTTGTTCTATATTGATTGAGGTGATTTTTTTCTTTTTGAGTACTTTAATGAAATGCTTGCATTAATAGATTGCCTAACTTCTTTAATAAATGCTTACCCCATAAATTTTCACTCCTCAGCATGATTTACTGGCCCTACTCTCCATGATCTTTTGCATATATCTCACTATACCTCTTTTCACACCCTCTGCCCTAACCACGCCACAGCAGCACACAGCATCATTCTTTTGTGATTTTATTGATATAAATTCCTCCTCATCTTTGGAGACTCAGCATAAGTATATCCTTTGTGCTTTGGCTTGACAGTACCTCATACCATGACTGTACCCTTCCTCTCGCCCCCACTAACCCCTGTACCTATTTCACAGCAAATATAAATGAATCCAGAAGAGTTTCCCAATGCAAGATCAACATACAAAAACAAATAATATTCCTCTACATCAACAATAATGCATTAAACCATTTTATAGGAAGGAAGATAATATTTAGAGTACAATAAACAAAAGTCACTCTATAATCAAGTAAGACCTCTGTGGGAAACATCTTCAGGCTCTAACAAAAGACATAAAATTAGACCAAAATGCCATAATCATGACTGCATACACATAACTTTAAAGATGTCAATTTATTCCCAAATTTATTTATCAACACATAAGCAAAATCCCAGAAGAAATTATTTAAGAAGCTCTTCAATACTGATTCTAAAATCCATTTGGAAGATTAAAGCTTCATAAATATCTGAAAGAATTCTATAACAGAAAAGCAAAGAGGAGGGACTAGCAATAAGAGTTACTGAGATATATTAACATTTACACTAAATAAAAAAAGAGAGGCCTGGTGTAGGAACAAATAATGGGTCTAGGGAAAAAATCAAATTGGCATAAATAACTGATATATATGTGGTAGACAAGGTACCTAAAATCACTGGAGAAAATATAGATTATCAATAAATTATAGTTAAAAGTTATCTCAAAATACATGCAAATGTAAACTTAGATTTATACCTCTTACCGTATATAAAAATAAATTCCAGGTACACTGAATAACTGAAGGCAAGTAATTATTTAAAGAAAATAATACCTTTATGTCTGAACCAGTTATAGAAAATTATCTCAATGCAAAAAGCACAAATATAAAAATACTGAACTCAACTTCTTAAATGGTAACACTTTCTGTTTGATCCTGTATAACATAGGCAAAGTTAACAAATTTGACTGTAGGGAGAGGATATTTGCAACAAAGTTAATAATGCATTTATAACTGGAATATAAACAATATGAAAAAGAACTCCTTTGAAAACAACAAAGAAAAGAATGGGTAGAGGCAACTTAATCTTCAGCTTACCAAAAATGGAAAAAGTTGGGTAAAATTTTGTGCTGATAAGGATGTGGGAAAATGGGACCCCCTCAAGCACCACTGAAGGAAGTGTGAACTGGTGCAGCCTTTTTGAAGAGCAAAGTTAGTGAGAATGAGAATGCTCAGGTCCTATGATGCTAAAACCTCTTCTCCTGGATAATACAGTCCCAGAAAACTTCTGAACATGTACCAAAAAAAAAAAAAATACAAAATGGTATTTATTACATACACCAAAAAAACAGAATAAACTAAAAGTTCAACAAAATGTAAATAAAGGCTCAGTGAATTAATTAATACATGAATTAATGAAAATGGAAAACTAACTGAACTGAAAAGAATATGTAAAAGGCGAACGAGTTAAAAAGAGGGTCACAAATCTGAAAAGTGGCCAACACAGACAGATGCCAAGACCTTACATGACAGAAGAAATGGTGGGCACAAAAAATCATGCAGTCAGTATATTATGGGCCAAAACCAATGAAATATCATATAATAATCTACTCAGTGATATAAGAACTACCTAGTCAATTGGAATGGTAATCTATTTTAAGAATAAATTTAATATTATACAATAAAAGAAAATGAAAGGGAAATTAGTTACCCAGATAACGTTTTATAATTCAGCTTTAAAAGTTGTCATTGGGGAGATCAATACAAATGGCAGAATAAGGAACTCCAAAAATTACCTCCTTCATAAAAGTCATGAGGAAAAGTGTAGAAATTATCAGAAAAAACATTTCCAGAACTCAAACTCAAAATTAATCAAATACAGCAATCCAGAAAACATTTATTCTAGAAAAACAACTGGATCTGATTTATGGGTTGATTGTGTCCTCCCTCTCTTATTAATATGTTGAAGTCCTAATCTCCAGTACTTCAGGATATAAACTTATTTAGAAATAGTCTTTACTGAGGAAGTCAGGTTAAAATGAAGTCATCAGGCTGAGTACAAATCCAATATGACTGATCTCCTTATAAAAAGGGGAAATTTGGAAACACAGACAAATACAGAGGGAAGAGGATACAGAGTGATAGGGAAAAGATGGCAATCTAAAAGCCAAAGACAAATATCTGGAACAGATTCTTTCTTCAAAGTCTTCAGAAGAAACCAACTCTGCCAATACTTTGATTTTTGATTTCTAGCCTCTATAACTGTAAGACAGTAATTTCTGTTGTTTAAGCCACCCTGTCTGTGGTTCTTTTGTTCCAGCATCCCTAAGGAACTAATTAAAATCAGTAGGAACAGTGAGCTTGTAGTATTTTAACGTGCCTGATTCCCATGCCTCCTTCTCCAGCTCTGCAATAAGGAGCCATGACAACCAACAGTTTACAATCACAGTGAGAACCAGCAGCCTGGCAGCCAATGAAGGGGGCAGGCATGGTAAGAATGCCTTCAAAGCCTCCCTCCCAGAGTACTATCAGTATGCGAACTGTCAGTCAACATCCTGGAAGACCTCGTATTAAAGGCTGCCCGTACTTGACCTGATTTGGACTTTGCCTACTGCACAAAGCCTTTTCCCCAAAAGAATTCGTTAAAAACAATTAGAGGCCCTCATTTAACTTTGTGACTGCCTGATACACTGAGCAACAATTGGGGAAAACAATAGGTTAACCAAAAACCTTAAGAGGAAAAGCTGGGGAATGTCATATCCACAGGAACTTTGACTTGTTCTGAACATTCCTGAAAAAGTTAGCAGGACACATGCATGCAAAAGACTGTGTACATGCCCAGAACAATCTGTATTCTCAGTAAAGATGAAGAGGCCTTAAGTTCTCTCTTTTGGCTGAAATTGAGGTTCTGCACGGCATAAAGTGAATGATAAGGTAGAGTTGCCAACTATCTGAAAGGTACGTCACAACGTGCACAAAGACACCCTCAGCAAAGACTAGGAGACTAACTAGTTCAAGATGTTTAATGAAAACTCTGTCCAATCATTAGCCTAACTAAGCTAATTAAGCAGAGATTTCAGTGGTTATGGGATAAAGAATACATAACTTACACAGTTAGTTCAGAAACTCACTGAACAAATACACGATATCAGCAAACAGCAACAACATCACACTCTGGGAAGTAGAAAGAATCTTATTTCCAGTGTTGCTATGTTATACTATTATAAATGTCAAGTTTTCAACTAAAAATATGAGACATGCAGAAACCCAAGAAAATATGGCCATATGCATAAAAAGGTAGCCCACTGAAACAGACTCCAAGGAAGGCCAAATATTGGAGAAAGATCATTAGGTTGAACTTACTGGATAAATATTTTAAGTTAGATATTTTATATATGATCAAAGAAAACCATGTCTAAATGTAATAAAGAATGTGTGATATTCCAAGTAGAAGATATCAATAAAGATACAAAAATTATTTTTAATAAACTGCAGATTAAACAGTACAATAACTGAAATGGGAAATTAACTAGAAGGAATCAATAGCAAACTGAGAAGGCAGAAGAATCTGCAAACTTGAAGATAGGTCAACATGGGATTACCCAGTCTGAGAAAAAGAAAAAAAGAATAAAGATCAATAACTCAGAGACCTGTGAAAAACCATTAAGCATATCAATGTATGCATAATCAGAGTCCTGAAGGAGGGGAGAGAGAGAAAAAGAATTTTTTTAATAATCGCAAAAAATCCCAAATTTGATTGAAAACATGAATCCACGTATCCAAGAATTCAATTAACTCCAATTATGATAAACTTAAAGGAAATCCATAGCCAGACACATCATAATCAAACTGACAAAATCCATAAACAAGGAGATAATCTTGACAGTAGCAAGAGAGAAGCAACTTATCCCACACAAGTAACCTTTGATTAATAGTTTCTCATAAAAAGTCATAATGAAATAGAAAGTCTGAATAGGCCTTAAATGAGTGATTAAACTGGTAATCAAAAAACCTCCCAAAAGGAAAAGTCCAGCACCAAATGAATTCACTGGTGAATTTTACCAAACAATTAACAGAATTAACAACAATCCTTCACAAACTCTTCCAAAAGATAGAAGAGGAGGTCATTACATACCAACTTGTTCTATGAAGCCAAAATCAAAGGCATCACAAGAAATTTACAGACCAATTTTCCTTATGAACATAGCCATAAAAATCCTAAAAACACTAGCAACCAAATCTAGCAACATAAGAAAGGATTATACATCATAATCAACTGGAATTTATCCCAGGAATGCAAAGCAAGTTCAAAATACAAAAATCAATGTGATGCATCATATTAACAAGATAAAGAACAAAAAACACATTATCGTCGCCATACATGGAGAAAAAGCATTTAGCAAAATTCAACCCCTTTCACAATAAAAGAACTCAACAAACTAGGAATTGAGGGGAACTCCCTAAACCTGATAAAGGGCATCTACAAAAAACTCACAGATAACATCATACTTAAGGGTGAAAACTTATATCGGTTTTACACAACATCAGTATGAAAATATCAATTGTGTTTCTTTATGCTAGCAATGAACAATCCAAAAACTAACTAAATAAAACCATTCATTTACAATAGCATTGAAAGTAATAAAATATTTAGGAGTAAATTTAACAGAAGAAATGTAACACTTGCATACTGAAAACTATAAAATATAATTGAGGGAAATTAAAGATCTAAATAAATTGAAATAATGGAAAGACCCCCCAAGTTCATAGATTGAAAGACTTAATATTGTTAAGGCGACAATACTCCTAAAATTGATCTACAGATTCAATGAAATCCCTGTTAAAATCTCAATAGACTTTTTTGCAGAAATTGACAAGCTGATTCTAGAATTAATATGGAATTGCAAGGGACCCAGGGAAGACAAAGCAATCTTGAAAAGAACAAATTTGAAGGACTCACACTTAATGATTTCAAAACTTATTATAAGCAACAATAATCAAGATAGCAAAGTATCAGCATAAGAACAGACATATAAATCAATGGTATAGAATTTAAAGTCCAAAAATAAACCCATACATCTGGGGCCAACTGCTTTTCAATACGAGTGCCAAGCCAATTGCAAAGAAAAAGAATAATCGCTTCAACAAATGGTGATAAAACAACTCGATAGCCATGTGCTAAAGAATGAGCATGACCTCTACCTTGCACCATATGCAAAAATTAATTCAAAATAGATCAGAGGCCTAAATGTCAGAGTTAAAACTACAACATTCTTATAAAGAAACATAGGAATAACACTTTGTGACCAGTGATTAGGCAATAATTTCTTAGATATGATACCTGAAGCACCAGCACCAAATAAAAAATAGAAATTAGACTTCTTTATCAAAGTTTAAAACATATGCTTCAAAGAACACATTAAGAAAGTGAAAACACAATCCACTGAATGGGAAAAATATTTGCAAATCATGTATCCAATATATAGAATATATAAAGAACTCTATAATTCAACAACAAAAAGAAAACCACCAAATTTAAAAACGGGCAAAGGACTTGAATAGGCATTTCTACAAATGACATATCCATACAGCCACAAAGCACATGAAGAGTTACAACATCATTAGTCATTAGGGAAATGCAAATCAAAACCACAATGATACCAGTTTACACATACTAGGATAGCTATAAAAAAAGAAGATGGATAATAACAATGTTTAGGATATTGGAAAATCTGAACCCTCATACATTGCTGGTGTGAAAGTAAAATAGCTTAGGCTCTTTAAAAAATAGTTTGGCAGCTCCTCAAAATATTAAACATAGAGTTACTCATAGGTAGAGAAGTGAGTATTATCCCACCCTAAAAAGGAATGAAGTATTGATGCACTCTATAACATGGCTGAACCTCAAAAACGTCATACTAAGTGAAAGACAGACACAAAAGGGCACATAGTGTATGACTCCATTTATATGAAATTTCCAGAACAGGCAAACCTATAGAGACAGAAAGTAGATAAGTAGTTTTCAGGGCTGAAGAATGATTGCATAATGGATTAGGTCTTTCTTTTTGGGGTGATGAAAATGTTGTAAAATTACATAGGGGCAATGGTTGCCTAATCTTGTCAATATACTAAAAACAATTGAATTGTGCACTTTAAAGGAAGAATTTTATGGCATGTGAATTTGCCACAACTTAAAAACCACCAAAACAAGTTGTAGTTGCCATACTTCATGTGACTACTGCAAATCTTTGAATCCAAAATATGTATGATTTGTATTACCATATTTGCACTATATACATTTAATATTATAGCTAATTATTATATAATAAAAATCCACACAGGCAACTTTAGATAACTTTTAGAAATAATTATTCTTTGTATACTTATGTAGTTATAGCATATAGTATTAGAACTGGATGAGTCTAACCATATGCAAACAACTTTAATCCACTTCTGTAGAAAGAAAAGGGCCTTAGGAGACTAGGATAAATGAAGAGCATTAGCCTTTTGGAGAAGACTGATAAATTTAAACAAATGCTAATAACTTTTAAAAATTAGTGAAAATATATTTATGAATACCTGGAAAACTTGTTGATCCCACTATTTTCACTGAATCTTTGGTCAAGCGAAAAGCTCTTGGTAATCGAACCAAGTGTCCAACTATCAAAAAAAAAGATCAACAATTTGTCTCATTAGATATTCTAAAATATTCAAATATACTATTACAGTATCTTTGGTATTGGTTGAAGGGGAGAGCCATAATTCAATCTCCTCTGACAGTTGATATCACTGTTCCAACTCTATTCCCCCTCAGATGATCTGATAAATTTAATCTACGTACTGCTTCTCCATATTATATCTCACCTCTGATTTTTTCTAAAGCCATTTAGAATAATCTCTTCATTATTAGAAGTTCAAATCTCCCACCATTCAAGACCCAAATCACAAGTCCCTTCTCCTTCAAACCTCGTTTGTCCTTAGCACTTCTTATCTGCCACAGTACATCACCAGCACCTTTTTAATAACACTCATTCTACATTGTACTATAGTTCTTTGTTTTTAATTTCCTTAAGTTTTGGAGGAACAGGTGGTATTCGGTTACATAAATTCTTTAGTAAGGATTTTTGAGATTTTGGTATACCCATCACATAATAAACACTAAACCCAATTTGTAGTCTTTTATCCCTCACCCCCATCCCACCGTTTCTCCCACCCCCGAGTCCCCAAAGACCATTGTATCATTCTCATGCCTTTGCATCCTCATAGCTTAGCTCCCACTTATAAATGAGAACATATAATGTTTGGTTTTGCATTCCTGAGTTACTTCACTTAGAATAATAGTCTCCAATCCCATCCAGGTTGCTGCAAGTGCCATTAATCCATTCCTTTTTATAGTTGAGTAGTATTCCATATATATATTTATGTTTGTGTGTGTGTGTGTGTATATGAGTGTATATATATGTGTATATATGTGTATATATATGTGTGTATATATGTGTGCATATATATGCATATATATGTGTATATATTTGTGTATATATATGCGTATATATGCGTATATATGTGTATATATGTGTATATATATACACACACACATGCACACACACACACACATATATATATACACATATACCATACACCACAGTTTCTTTATCCACTCATTGACTGATGGGCATTTGGGCTGGTTCCATGTTTTTGCAACTGTGAATTGTGCTGCTATCAACGTGTGTGTGCAAGTACCTTTTTCATATAATGACTTATTTTCCTCCGGGTAGACACCAGTAGTTGGACTGCTGGATCCAGTGGTAGTTCTACTTTCAGTTCTTTAGGGAATCTCCACAATTTTCCATAGTGGTTGTACTAGTTTACATTCCCACCAGCAGTGTAGAAGTGTTCCCTTTTCACTGCATCCACACCAACATCTATTTTTTTTTTTATTTTTTGATTATGGCCATTCTTGCGAGAGTAAGGTGATATCACATTGTGGTTTTGATTTGCATTTCTCTGATAACTAGTGATGTTGAGCATTTTTTCATATGTTTGTTGGCCATTTGTATATCTTCTTTTGAGAACTGCCTATTCATGTCCTTAGCCCACTTTTTGATGGGACTGTTGGGGTTTTTTTTCATGCTAATTTGTTTGAGTTCCTTGTAGATTCTAGATATAGATTCCAGATATTAGTCCTTTGCCAGATGTATATATTGTGAAGGTTTTCTCCCATTCTGTGGGTTGTCTGTTTACTCTGCTGACTGTTCCGTTTGCTGTGCAAAAGCTCTTTAGTTTAATTAAGTCCGACATATTTGTCCTTGTTTTTGTTGCATTTGCTTTTGGGTTCTTGGACATGAAATCTTTGCCTAAATGGTGCTGGGATAATTGGAAAGCCACATGCAGAAGAATGAAACTGGATCCTCATCTCTCACCTTACATAAAAATCAACTCAAGATGAATTAAGGACTTAAATCTAGGACCTGAAACTATAAAAATTCTAGAAGATAATATCAGAAAAACCCTTGTAGACATCGGCTTATACTATAGTTCTTGATACACACATACCATTTTCCTTATTAGATTATAAGCTCCATTGATAGTGGGATCAATGTTTATGTTAACTTATCAAGAATCAGTATCAAACACTATACCTTGCACATTGTAAATATTAAATAATAATTGTGAAACATATTCTGATAGTCTTCATTGTTAAATGAGCAAATGTGATGGGCATAATAGTGTGAGGGGCAGTATAAAAATGCAATAAAGCATTATACCCAAATAGCCTTTAGCAGACAGGAATAGCAAAGTGCAAAGAAAAGGATGTGGTATCAAAGCCAGAGGACTTGAGTTTAAATCCTAATTCTGCCACTTACTGGTTTTAGGAAAATCACTTTAAACTCTAGGAGCTTCAGTTTTCTTATATGTAAAATGGGACTAATAATAATTCCATCCTTACAGTTACTGTAGAAAATGAGAATACTGTATAAATTGTAAAATGCTATATAAGAGGCCTTCACTATTCATCACTTACAAGATACTAACTGCTTATTCTATTTCTTATATCTCATAGGTCTAATCTTATTATTTCATCAAAAGATCACCAGGTAAAAATTTAAAATAAAAACCCTTTCACACCTAATACACGACCACGACCCATATCCAAGAAGCATCTTTCTCCTACATGGCAATTGATGGCTATCGGCTATTCATATACTTATAGAAGAATAATCTTTGGATTCCTGATGCCTGGACTTTGATTTTTAAATCTCTATTCACTCCATTTGTTTCCTTTCTCCTCCCCTATCCCCTACCTACCTCCACAAACCTTTTACATTTATATTCTTGGAGGACTTCTTTTTTTCATTATTCCTTATTTGAACAACTTTTTTCATTTGAAGCAAATCTCTGTGATTTTATCAATTTTGGGTCTAGAATTTTGAGTCTAGAATGCAGCCAAAACCTTTCTAGTTAAATAACAGTTCAATTAAACTTTCACATCCTTCGTCAGTGTTTGTTCATCAGTATCTTACATGTATTTTTAAAACAGTATAGAAAAGTACTTCAATTCTTTAGAGGTCAAAACTTTAAAATCGCATTATTTCCTGTATTTCACAGCTAAAACCAATAGATGGCGCTCCACCATCACGGATAATTTGAAAGCAGCAGGTTGCCTATTTGAAAGACACTGATCTCATCATTACAGAGTTCACACACTGAAATGCAAACCTGGCAGATGACCCATGGACTGAATTGGGGAGTTTATCAACAAAGCAATTTAATTGTAAAACTTCAACTGTGGGTGACGTAGTGATCCATCTATACCTTAATTTCCTGTCATTCACTCCTCTATGCAAATGCAGAGTGACTTTGTACGACTTCCATAAAAAATAAGCCTTTCTTGTCACGTATTAGTGAGCAAGGTGTCTCTATATAAAACGGATGCACGTGACACAAGAAAAGGCAATTCGAAGAGTGGGGGAAGCTGCGGTTGTCCCTGCGGAGCCGGCAGGGCGGCGCGGACCCTCACCTGATGAGGGCACCCGCACCAGGAAGGCGGAGATAAAGAGGAGGATGGCGGCCCGAGAGAGCAGGGAGCCGGCGGCCCGGGTCCGCCGCCTGCCCCGCCGCGCTGGGCCAAGGGCGAAGGCCTCCATCCACACGCCGCCGTCGCCTGCCCACCGTCCGCGCGGAAGGTCGTTAGGCAACGCGCGCCCACCTGCAGCCGGAAGTTGGCGGGCGGAGGACCGGAACAACGGACCTGATGGACGTGCTCCCACTTCCGCCGGGGTGGTAGACTAGGGGTCAGCCTGTGTCTCCACATAGCTGGTGGGGCCTACACGCGCCAACTGTGCTGTGCAGCCCCCGGGCCTTCAGGACAACACAGCCACGCAGGGCATCCTCAAGAACATCAGTGATTTGTCCAAGATCCTAGAGCTGAGAGAGAATCGTTGGGCCCCAAATCCCGTGCTTTTACCTTTGCATAGCGTTTATGATCGAAAAGCCCTTTTTATGAGCCAGGTGGTAGATGTGGGGCCCAGTTTCGAACAACAGATAGTGAGAATGCATGAGTTAAGACGTGTAAAGCCCTCAGTGGACTGCTTTGATCTAGTAATGTCAGCAGATAGTATTTTATGGATGTGTGGAACTTAATTGGGAGATAAATGCAATACACACTTAGTGGGAATTAAAGGTAAGTAAGGCCTTTAGCCTCAGAAAGAAGCTTGATGGAAGGACAGAGGAAATAACCATAGATGAAATTTACTTTCTAAAATAGACCGGAAGATCATCTTATAGTGTCACCTAAATTCAGCAAAACATACAAAACCATCTATCCTGTGTGGGAGACCAGAATATACCTTCTCAAATATGAAGGATTGCTGCCCTGAAGACAAGAACCAGCAGATGCAGGAGAGCTGTCCACCTGCCCTCTTTTTACCCAGAAGCAAGACATAGATTAGAAAGAGAAAAGGTATCCTGCCCCACTCCTTTACCAGGGAGAACAAAGGTTAACCACTGAAGACAGCGTCAGACCCTCATTAGCCTTGAAATGATATCAGAGGAATTAATATTAGCTTTTTTTAAACCATCTTTTGTCTGCTATTTGTTTGCTTAGCCCAAGTTACTGCCTGTAGAGACTCAGAGTCCTTTTCCTTTGTCACATCTCTAAAAATTTCCTAGTCTTTGTTGAAGATGCTATACAAGCTGGAATTCAAAGACGCTTCTTTGAGAACTACTCATTCTCTGGGTGTTCCTCATATATAAATGAAATATATTAATAAACATCTGTTTTTCTCTTGTTAATCTGTCTCTTGTAAAGGATCCATTCTAAGTACAAAGTTATGGGGGTTATTATTTTCCCATACACAGCCTAAGAGGCCATTTATAGCTAGAACTTGTTTTAGAGAAATTGAAAGAGACTCATGCCTCTACTTTTCTGCTGCTGGAAGGATTTACTTAATGGGAGCAGAGCTGTGATAGAAATAAATCTTAAGCAGTTGGTTTAAATACATTGAAGAATGAAGTTTGAGCAACTAAATGTAGAATGCCTAATTACAAGTGAGTTATCACTTTTGATATGAAGAAATGAGTGATCATGGGTGGACTAAAAACTGTCACTTGATATGCTATGATCTGGATGAAGGATTTAAAACTGACAGCCTAACCACCTAATTTAATCTCACTTGTTTAATAGTATATCTCAAAATTGTAAAGACTTTCAATGGGGCATAGGCATTCTGATTGTACCAAACATATCACCCTTGACAGTTGGCCTGATTAACGATTATGTGCCTGACTCTTCAAAGCTAGAATCTTGCCTGTTTTAACATTTTTGCTGCAGTAAGGATGATGTGAACTTTTACCCCAAATTCTAATATTTGCATTTCCTCTTATAGTAGTTCATGCAAGATGAAATTATCCAGGTGAAAGAGCTTTTAAGTGAACCAATACATTAGTGATTTAAATGATATTTTGTGTGTAGACAGTTAACTGATACCCATTGTGGTTTCCTAAAATGAACTTAAAACTCTTACTGTTCTTACTCTGGACACCATGGCAAATTTAAGGGAAGTAAAGATAATTTAGGGCATGTAAAGATGTACCTGTACTTTCATTATAATTTTCTGTTTTTCTTAAAAATTAGATATACTAGGGCTGGGCACAGTGGCTCACACCTGTAATCCCAGCACTTTGGGAGGCCGAGGCGGGCAGATCACAAGGTCAGGAGATCGAGACCATCCTGGCTAACACAGTGAAACCCCATCTCTACTAAAAATACAAAAAATTAGCCGGGCATGGTGGCGGGCGCCTGCAGTCCCAGCTGCTTGGGAGGCTGAGGCAGGAGAATGGCGTGAACCTGGGAGGCGGAGCTTGCAGTGAGCCAAGATCACACCACTGCACTCCAGCCTAGGCGACAGAGTGAGACTCCACCAAAAAAAAAAAATTAGATGTACCAATTTAACTTTAGTAATGTTTATATTTTGTAGTGCATTTAGATTTACATTTAATTAGATAGCAAGTGTTATATATATAAATACTTAATTGTAGTCACATATATACTTTTGAGAAATGTATTGTCACTGAATTAACTGCTTTATTTACACTCCTTAAATATATTTTATACCCATAAAATACCAACTTATGGAAAAATTTTAAAATAAGTAAATGAACACAGCTTTCCTGAGCACTGGGGAGAAAAGTATCATGGAAATATTAGTACCAAGGCTATTTTTGTTTTTCTTAAGAATTGTGATGTACATAATAAATGGTTCAATGTGTTAAGAATTCTAGCCGTTGCCAGGCAACAAGGGCTCTGCTTTATTCTCCTTATGTCATGTTCCTTCATTGCCCTATTCTTCCTTTGGTGGAGGAAAATATTTGCCTTAAAAAGAAAAACAAAATTATCTGCCAACATTTAGAAAGCTGTGTCAATTTTATACTAGTTTAACACAGATCTTTAGTTATTGGCAATAGAGTTTATATAGTTAAATATAAAGGAATTATCAGAAATACTTTATAGTTATCAAAAATTCTAAAGAAAAAGGCCATGGATGTAGAAATTCAGGACACACCTGGAAAGATAAGTATCTCTAAAAGGTCCATCCTTTCAGGAACTGTTGAGAATATAGATTACCCACACTATTGTGATCTCTTAAGAAAAATGAACATGCCTTTTGTGAAAGGTCTTGAGAACAGACATAACTATGGCAGGTTTGAAAAGAAATGCAACCCTGCTTTTCTTAAATTTCACCCTTATCCCCCTTCAGTTTTGCCAGACTATCATTTACATGATCCTTATCCCCCACCATATGGGCCACATTATCCATTATTTCCACTTCGGGATGATGTGACCTTAGGTGATTCCTGTTCAGGGTTTATGAGTCCTGGTGGTGATGCTGATTTAAATCCTGGCATTGGCAGAACCATACCAACCCTAGTGGATTTTAGTGATGTGAAACCTCAACATCGAGTTCCCAGACCAGACACAGGATTTCAAACAACAATAAAAAGGCAAAAAATTCTATCAGAAGAACTGCAACAGAACAGGAGATGGAATTCCAGGGAAGTACCAGACATTTCTATCAGAGCAAGACTTGGAGGTAAATGAAGTGACATGAACTTTCTATTTTTTAAATGCTCAAGGGAAGAGAGTATGGACATAAGATTCAATATTTAGGCAGTTAAATTAACAAAATTACAATGATCTGAAAAAGGTTTTATTTTTAAATTACAGATTATAAGAAACAAAGGAATGATAAACCTTATAAACTTATTTGTAAAAGAAAATTTATTCTTTAAGAAAAGAACATTCATTAGTGATTAACACAAAGTATATAACATTATTTATTCTAGATATATGGATAAGCTTGTTTTACCACAGGGGAATTTATGTATCACTTTGATAATTGTATAGAAATCCTCCTTATCTGTCTCTCTCCTTTGAAAGAATGAATTCACTGATATTATGAAAGAGTTAGTTTTAAGGATTGAAATAAAATGGGAAAAATTTAAGTACTTGAACGTACATTTTTTGGCTCCAATAAGAACAGAAGCTGAAATGAAGCAAACTCTGCATAAATAGCTCCACAGCCATGGAGGCAGGTTTGATGACCTCTTACTGACATCTGCACCATGTGGTTTCTCTGTAAGAACTCCTGTAAATGGAGTTCCTCTAAATGATGAGAAACACCTCCAAAGGAAAGCCACAGGTACTATTTTCTGTATAAAAGCTGTCTGGCAGGCAGGAATGTAAAAAGATCAACATTTTTAGCATCGGAAAAGGAAAGGGCCAAATGCTATAGGAAGAATACTTTTAAACATTATTCTAAGAAATTATAGGTTGAAGAAATGGCTTAGCAAAGCTAACATAGGGCTAAAATGGTGTTAACAGACTTTGTACCACCAAGTCAGAACCAAGTATAGAGCTCATCTGTCCCATGTATTTCACTGCCTGAATCAGTGAAACAGAGGAGTTTAGAGAACAGGCTTTAGACTCAGACTGTCTGGCCTTGAGCTCTGGCAAAAACTCAGTTGCTGTACGACCCAGGGCTAGTTACTATTCTCTTTATGCCTGTGTATCCTTACTTGTAAAACTCACCTAAGAGTAAAACTTCATAAGATAATAAGTAAGGGTCATTTTATGTTAAAAAAAAAAAAAAACTCACCTAAGAGTGAAACTTCGTAAGATAATAAGTAAGGGCCATTTTATGTAAAAATACCTAAAATAAAGAATAAATGTCAGATTGTAAGAAGTCCAAAATTTTCAGTTTCTTCATACATAAATTAGGAATAATCTTACTTCTTTTATACATTTGTAAGAATCAAATGAATTAACACTTGTAAAGTGCTTAGCAGAATCCCTGAAACCTGATAAAACATTTCATTAATAGTAGCTCTTATTATTAACTATTAAGAGTTTCAAAAAGTAATACCTGCAATTTGGGGACAGAGTTCAATATAATTTGTCCTAGGCTTTCAATGACTTTGTACATCCTGGAAACAATTAATTGTAAATGATAAGTACTTTCAGGATGTAACAAACCTAAATACACGTTATTTCTAATACATTCTCATAAAGACGGTCATTTCAGAATTAATTACATACACACTGGTATGCTCTTCAGTGGACTTTCACAAATATCAAAGAAAAATCATAAAATATTATATTGCTGATTTCTACTTGCCCCATTCCAAACCTGTGTAGACCTTTTACTGAGTTTAGTACTTCCTTTCTTGATCCAGTTGTCTCTCTTTATCATCTACCAATTAACAATTCTAAACTTATTCTAATTACATTCAGATCCTTTATAGTACTCTGCCTCTCATTGCAGTAGATGATCCAGTCTTTGTTATCACAGAAGAGATAGACCTCATCTATTGTCACTTCCTTGATTGTCCTCCACTTTGGCCTCCTGATATCAATATTGATACCACTTTGTATGTCTTTCTATCTTTTTTTAAACCATTGTATTAAGTCACTTTGCATGACAAAATACTAAAGGCTGGGTGGCTGAAACAACAGATAATTGTTTCTCATAGTTCTAGAGGCTGGGAAGCCAAGAATCATGGAATTGGTATATTTGATTGCTGGTAAAGACCTTCTTTCTAGTTTATAGAAGGCATCTTTTTCCTTGCATCCTCAGAGAGAGAGAGAGAGAGCTCTAGTCTCCCTTCCTCTACTTAACACTAATGCCATCATGGAGGTCTTACCTTATTTGCCTCATCTAAAGCTAATTACCTCCCGAAGTCTTCACCTCCAAATAACATCACATTGGGAGTTAGGCTTCAACACACGAATCTGGGGGGATACAGACATTCACCACAACCATCTTTATAGTTAATTAACATTAAGTAGTATATTCATACTGTGCAAATATCACCACCATCCATCTCTGGGATTCACTTCATCTTGCAAAACTGAAACTCTTTACCCATTAAACAACCCCCTATTTCCCTCCCTGCCAGGGGTTATGAACTCCTGGCAACAACCGTTATATCTTCTGTTATCTATGATTTTGACTACTTTAGGTTCCTCACTTAAGCGAAATCACATATTATTTGTCTTTTGTGATTGGCTTATTTCACTTACCGTAATGTCCTTCAGGTTCACTCCTGTTGTAGTATATGTCCAAAACTTCTGTGTGTATTAGGTCTATTTGGTCTATGTGTTATTCAAGTCCTCTATGTCCTTATCGATCTCCTGTCTGGATGTCCTATTCATCATTAAAAGTGCGGTACTAAAATATCCTACTATTATTGTATTGTTGTCTATCTCTTCCTGCATTTATGATTCTCTTGACCTTGGTGAGCATTTTCGTGACGGTTTTCTGTGGGGTATGTTATTTAACTCTATTTTATTAGGATTGGTTTCTGAAAATGTATCTTATTCCTTTGTTTGGAGGATCTTTGCCTGATTCTTCATTTTCCTTGACTCTCTGTGTAGGTGTTTCCACATTAGGCAAAGCAGGCACTTCTTTCATTCTTCATGACCTGGTCTTGTAAAGAAGAAGACCTTCACCCTTCAGCCTGGCCAGAGATTTGGGAACCTCTGCCAACTGTTTTCCTTCCCAAGTGAATCTGAGAGATGGGATTTTTGTTCACTTGCTCTGTGCTGAGGAGAGGGTGAGCTATGGTGTCTACTAGCCCAAACTCCCATTTCCATTATCCCATAGGCAACTAGACTGTGCCAGATTCATCAGAGTTTCATGACTGATAAGACAGATGCTGTTTTTGGAGCAGCCCCAGAGAAGCTGGGGTCCTGGATCAACTCTTGGATCTATGGCGACTATCTCTAGATCTAGATCTGTGGCATCTACAAGCCCAGGCTACCTTCTCCATCTTCCCCCAGGGGGTTAAACTATGTTGGATTCATCAGAGTTCCAGAACTGGTGAGATAAATCATAGTTCTTTAGGCAACTACCGAGAAGTTGGGGTGCTGGACACGAATGAATCAACTTTTTCTAGGGGGCTGAGAGAGAAGATTATTTAAAATCTGCTTACTCTGTGCTGAGCATATGGGAGAGTCTGTGCTATCCACCAGTCCAGAATGCAATCTCTGTTCACTCTTGGATCATTAGATTGTACCAGACCCCTCAGGGCTCCCAGACTGGCAAGACAGAAGCCAGTCCTCTGGGGAGCTCCCTTGGAAAAGTTGGGGTGCTAAACATGGGAACCAACTGAGGGGAGAACAACCTGAATGAATCTGGGAGCTAGGAAATCTCTTCCTGATTGTCTGGTACTGCACCAGGGGCAGGGAATCTGCAAGAGGGTGACTAACTCAAATCTCCATATCAGCTTCAGTGCGTCTGTTTTGCATTCTGTCAAGGTGCAGGAGCCTTTCACTCAGTTTCTGTATTTCTCACAAAGGTAACTTGTTCATGAATTGTTGCTGAATCAGTTTATTAATTGGGGAGAGGAAGTTCAGAGTTTCCTACTCTGCCATCTTGCTAAGGTCATTCCCCATAAATTTTGTTGTTTAAATTTTCATTTTTCAGTCAGGCACGGTGGCTCACGCCTGTAATCCCAGCACTTTGGGAAGCCAAGGCAGGTGGATCATGAGGTCAGGAGATCGAGACCATTCAGGCTAATATAGTGAAACCCCGTCTCTACTAAAAATACAAAAAATTAGCCAGGCGTGGTGGTGAGCACCAGTAGTCCCAGCTACTCGGGAGGCTGAGGCAGGAGAATGGCGTGAACCTGGTAGGCAGAGCTTGCAGTGAGCCGAGATCGTGCCACTGCACTCCAGCCTTGGCGACAGAGTGAGATGCCGTCCAAAAATAAATAAATAAATAAATAAATAAATAAATATGAAAATAAAATAAAATCGTTTTTCTCAAGATAATTTCCCATTTCCTTTATGATTTCTTATCTGATCCTTTGTTTTGTGGCATCATGTTTAATTTCTATATATCTGTTTATTTTCCAGTGTCCCTTCTTTTGTTGATTTTTAGTTTCTTTTCATTTTTACTGGAAAAGACACTGTATGATTTTAACCTTTTTAAATTTATGAAGAAGTGATGAATGGTAGCTGGTCCAAAAGTGATCCTCAGCAATTCACCCTGTTCCTGTGTGTGCCTGCCACTCTTACTGATAAACTCTGTTTACTTCCCATGTTGACATTGGGCCTGGACATTTGACTGGCTTGGGCCAATTATATGTTAGTAAGCATCATGCAAATGGAGACTTGATAAGCACTTGCACGTTGGGATTAGTCCTCTTCAGAGTCTTATCTGGGATCTCAGTCACTATCCTGTGAAAGACCAACCTATGCCCACAGAAACAAATACAAGACACTTGCCAGTGTGCCCACCTAAGCCCCCAGCTAATGGTCAACACCAACTTGCCAGCCATGTAAGTGAGGCCTTTTTTGAACCTTTGCAGCTATTGAAACTGACACCATGTGAAAGAACCACCCCCAACTATCTTCTGAATCCTGGGAGAGAATAAATGGTTGACTTAAGCCATTAGGTTTTAGAATTGTTTGTTTTTCAAATAGTAGATACTGAAACGGAGTGGAGGAAAGGATAACCTCAAACTTAGTCTTAAATTTGATGACTCTGCGGTGTAATTCATCGTCCAGAGTCCTTTCTTCTAATCTGGCTTAATATTAGAATTCAAGTTTTATTGTTTTCCTAATTTCCTACTTTTTCAAAGCAGTTGTTTGAATGGCTCCAAATAAGATAGATACCACAAAATGCCATCCTGTTGCTTGTGGCACAATAGACTTCTAGAGAGTTTCCTTGGTCCAGCTTGTCACAGACAGAATCATCCTCATGGTTCTTAAAACTGAAATGACCATGGGATTCAGCATTCCTTTCCTCCCTTTGCTTTGGCCTCTCACCTCTGTGTCTGTATTAGTTTTCTCTTGCTGCTTTAATAAATTGACACAAACTTTCCAGCTTAAAGTGAAACCCGTTAATCACAGCTTTGTGGATCAGAAGTCTGGGGAACGTCATCTCGGTCTTCTGTTTAGAATCTATGATAATAATAATGCCAAAATTTGCCGGGCGCAGCCGTGGCTCACGCCTGTAATCCCAGCAGTTTGGGAGGCCGAGGCAGGCGGATTATCTGAGGTCGGGACTTCAAGACCAGCCTAGCCAACATGGTGAAACCCCGTCTCTACTAAAAGTACAAAAATGACCTGGTTGTGCTGGCGCGTGCCCGTAATCCCAGCTACTCAGGAAGCTGAGGTGGCAGAATTGTTTGAACCCAGGAGGCGGAGGTTGCAGTGAACAGAGATCATGCCACTGCACTCCAGCCTGGGCAACAGGGTGAGACTGTGTCTCAAATAAATAAATAAAGCCAAAATCAAGGTGTTATCTTGATTCTTATCTAGAGGGTCTGGGGAAAAATCAACTTCCAAGCGCATTCAGATTGTTGCAGAATCCAGTTTCTTCCATCTAAACTGTTTATTTCCTCATGCACTGTCAGCCAGGGACTCTGTCTGCTCCTAGAGGCTACCCATATCCTACTCATATGATCACCTCAAGCTTCAAAGTCAACAATAGTGCACTGAGGTCCGCTGACACTCTGTTCTCTAACTGGCCCTTCTAAAGCCACAGACTATCCAGCATACACTTGTTCTCTATTCCTCCTTTGAAAATCCCCATTTCAGATTCTGTCCTGAGTTTCTCAGTCAAATATTGACTGAATTATCATCAATCATCATCATTATCATCATCATGAAAATAGTATTACTACATTAGTACTAAAAATACTAATGATATTACAACCACTAATTGTTAACTAATAAAAATGTTGAGCACTTAAACTACATGCCATAGTTTGCTTATTTCTTTGTGTTCATTAATTATAGTTTTTATAACTCTGACAATAGTCATTAAAGGTTAGGAAAATGAAGCTCAGATGGGTCGAATAACTCATGAAGGTCACTCTGGAACCCCAGCAATAAGTATATACATTACTTATATATATATAAAATGTATATACTTGTAAGTATATATTATATGTAATATATAATGTATATACTTGTAAGTATATAAGATCATATATTTTATATATATATATAATATATATAATATTAGATAGGTGGCATCTGTGATAGAGCTGCACCAGGGTGGCATCCACAGATGACCATGGAGCTCCTATCCTTCCCTAAGCACCTCTCACAATGCATCTCTCTCATGCTTCAACATCTCTATGCTGTCCATCCTGATCTCAAATTTTAACTTTTAATTTTACATTTTGCCAAGTTGGATTAATTCGTGGAACAAAGCTATGAAGTAGGGGACCAAATCTGAAGCCCCCATGGGATAGGAGAATCGATCTCTATGGAAACTACCAGAGGCACCCCAATTATCTTCACCTATGCTAGTCACCTGCCCAAACCAAAGTAATCTATCTCTCTTATTAAAACCCTTCAACGGCAATCCATCTGCAGGTTGAGTCTGAGGTTTTCATGCCCTGACCTTGGACTATTTCTTTTGCTTATCTTCTACCATTTCCTATCTACCATTTTACAATCTGCTATACCTAACATTTTTTAAGAGGCTATACCTAACATTAAGAGGCTCTCACAGAGCAGGACTACCATTGCACATACTGTTTCCATTCCTGGAACAACTACCCTTCCTCTACTTCTCCTTTTTCATCCAAGTTCTACTTTAATTGTCAAGATTATAACAAGTGTTATCTTTGGGGAGATGTCCCTAAGCCCTGACAACCTGGTTAGACTAGGTATTCTTAGGTATCCTTCCTATGCACCCCCACAGCACTCTGAGCTCAGCTATTGCTGTATTGCCACACCATATTGAGATTATCTACTTATATGTTTGTACTTTCCATTTGCTTATGGACACCTCAAAACCAGGGGCCCTGTTTTTCATCTTTATATAAAAGCTTCCAATTACAGTGTACTAAATATTTTTGAAGGCTGCTTTTTATAATTTGCTAGTTTTTTAGGACTTCTAATCTATCATTATATGAATTATCTGCATAATAACCAGACCCCTCTTGTGTCATCACCATCCCCAACATGTCTGTGTGCACATACATAGATGTATAGTACCAAATAGGTATCTTCTAATAATAAGTAAGAAATAACAAGTGATTCTGCACTATTGTAATTCGGCTCACATAGAAATTCCAGAGCTATTCTGTTCTCACAGCTAAAAGATCCAGAAAAGTTATTAAATAATCCATTAAAAAATGAATTACGATCACACAGTCTAGCTTCTAATAGTAAATATTTCTGTTGAAAAAGAACTTTTATTGTGTTTTTAACCAAAATCCCATTCGCTTTTTTTGTGTTTTCAGGTTGGACAAGCCCTCTGAAAGTTACTCCCTTACAACCTCATCATGAAGGACGCTCATTAAGTCACATATTTACATTTGATGAGGAGGCAACATGTACAGTAAGATTTTCTTCTGGGTGGTGTTATATATAATTAGTTTATTTCATTGTATTATATATATATAATTAGTTTATTTTATTGTTTAGTTATTTGATATTGTATGCCTTAGATGAACAGCTACTATGTATATAGTTCTTCTTATGTTCCAGGTACTGTGCAGACCCTTGCAATCAATGTCTATTATGCATTACCTTGCACCATTCCCACAATACCATGGGGGAGGAGTGAGTAGTAGATGCAGCTGGTGCCCATCACAGACTTCCTTCACTGGCAAGTGTGTCTATTCCCAGTAGCAATGAGTGATGACCACTGAAAGGCTAACAGCCACCAGACTGGAGGACTGCACCTTCTCATGCTGTCTCTTTCAGATTTTGGCCAGTGACTGACTGACTTCTTAGAGCAACGGATTAATGCTACTCTCCAGCTGCATTCTCACTAGCTTCTTTTCCTTCTCCTATTCTTCTGTCTTCCCTCCCCTTGGCCTGAGAGCATTCCCACAATATATCACTGGAACAACAATCCTCTCTGAATCCCTGCTCCTTAACAAGTAGTGTTGTTATTGTCATATTATTTGAGAAAACAGAAGCCCAATGTTGTTAAGTAACTGACTTTTGATAAGACAGATAATAAATATAAAACCAAAATTTAAACCTAAATATTTTTCAGAATTTGAGGATTATGTTCTTAATCATCTTCCTGTGTAGATTTTATAGTCTCTAAATCCTTGACATTTAAATTGAGATACTTAAAGAATCCTAAGACATACACAGATATAAAAACATTTTTAAAAAACAGCTTTATTGAGATATATGTCATGCATGATAAAATTCAACCCCTTAAAGAGTGCAATTCAATGTTCTTCGAATATTCACAGAGTTGTGCAACCATCACCACAATCTAATTTTAGATTTTTATTACCTCAAGAAAACCCATATTCATTAGCAGTAAAGGTATGAATACATTGTAAAGAATCAATTTTCATTTCTGTAACTCCTATATATATTTCTTCTAAAGTTGATCTGCCTGAGAATTTACCTGTATAGTGCCATGTTGATTTCTTTTTTTCTCACCTTTTCCTTCACAATAACTCTTTCTAGTTTACTACAAAGGGAAATGGGGCATACCTCTCACATATTAACAGCTGTACTATGGTACCTGGCCATGAAACAAAGGGCATGAAACAGAAAGGTCATTTAAAGTATATGTCCTCAATGCCTCCTTTACTCAAGATGTCACACACATGGTAGGACTTTATGTTTTTCTTTGTCCTGTGCATTTTTCTTTTATAAGAAAATTATGGTATTAGAAATAGTGGCAATTTTGCCTGTTCTAGGCTATTCTGAATTTAGACAAAATGCATAATGTGATTGCAAGGGTAATGAAAATTTTTATTTATTAATTTTATTTATTCTATCTTGAAATCCTTAACAAGAGATCCATTGGTCCTGCAGGTAAATCCTGTGAGAGCAAATCAAAGTGAACCTTATAAGAAACTGAAGACCTTGTTGCCTTTTTAAAAAACCTATGCTACAAATTTATGGCAAGATTCCATGCTTTAACTATTTTAAAACTAGAATTCTGAAGTAGGAACTTGTCATGGAAAGGCTTATTAGCATATTTATTTAAATCTAAAATAAGTTTAGACTTTTTATAGCAGTGAATAAATCTAGATATTATTTCCAGTAGTGGAAGCTAAGTAATATGGACCAATATTTCCAATGGCAAAACAACTGGATTAATGTTCCTTTTTTCTAATAAGGTAGAGAGAAATTACTGGGCCAACAAGAGGATAGACTCTCTAAAATTTAAGCCTAGCACTTAGGGCCACTGTGACACTGAAAGAATTTGCAATTTTTGAAGAGGCAACCAAAAGTTTGATTTGAACTTTTGGTGGTCTCATAGAAGTAAAAGATCAGAAGTTGGAGTTGATCCATACAAGCCACCTATGACTGTGGGCTGAATACCTGGAGGCCTGAACCCTCCAAGTAAGGATAGGTCAATAGTAAAAAGCACTTGAACAGACTGCAGCCTAGCTTAATCCAAGTAAATAAGAAAACTTCAAGTCCTGAACTAGGATGAAGGTGATCCTAGACTGCTCTCATTTCCAGAAATCAGGCAGAAGTAAATAACATTTTTCTTTGAAGGAAGATATTATCTTATTAAACCTCAAAGTATTTTCATTAAACACTTTTAAAGTGTAATGTTCATCACATAATTAACATATCCAAATACATAAGGAGAAAGTACACTATGAGTGAGAATCAGCAGAAATGAAAGAAAACAGAAACAGATACACACTGAGTCCATATGTTGCAAATATGCGTAAAATGTTGAAGGAGAAAAAAATGAGCTCACAATTTTTGTAAAAAAATTATAAATTACCAAATGGAAATTAGAAGACTGGGGAAGGGGCCAGGCATGGTGTCTCACACCTGTAATCTTAGCACTTTGGGAGGCCAAGGCAGGATCACTTGAGGCCAGGAGTTTGAGACCAGTCTGGCCAACATAGCAAAACCCCATCTGTACTAAAAATACAAATATTAGGCCAGGCACGGTGGCTCACACCTGTAATCCCAGCACTTTGGGAGTCCAAGGTGGGCGGATCACCTGAGGTCAGGAGTTTGAGACCAGTCTGGCCAACATGGCAAAACCCCATCTCTATTAAAAATACAAAAATTATCCAGGTGGGGTGGCACATGTCTGGGAGGTCAAGGCAGGTGGATCACCTGAGGTCAGGAGTTTGAAACCAGTCTGGCCAACATGGCAAAACCCCATTTCTATTAAAAATACAAAAGTTATCCAGGTGTGGTGGCACGTGTCTGTAGTCCCAGCTACTTGGGAGGCTAAGGCAGGAGAATTGCTTGAACCCAGGAGGCGGAGGTTGCAGTGAGCCGAGATAGCACCACTGCACTCCACGCTCCAATCTGGATGACAGAATGAGACTCTGTCTCAAAAAAAAAAAAAAAAAAAAAAAGAAAAGAAAAGAAAAAGAAAAAAAAAAAAGAAAATTGGGGGTAAAAGCAATTCCAGAACTGAAAAATACAATAAACAAAGAACTTTATAGATGGGTTCAGTAATAGATTAGATACAGTTAGAGAGGTAATTGGAGAATTGGAGAACTGGTAGATAAATCAGAAGAAACTATGGTGAAGCACAAATATACAAAAATATGAAAAATACAGAAGTGAAAGTCACAAAACTAGGAAATATAGGCAGAAAAAATAACACATGCTTATTTGGAATCCCAAAAGCGTAAGAGAGAAGAAATAGAACACAAGCTAAGATACGATTTTTATATCCACTGCGTGTTTATTTCTGATATCTCCCTGAGGCATCCCCTTACATTCTCTGCTGCACATTGAGGATGAGTTATGGTTCCAAACAAACAAGCCAAAGGTGACAGCAACAGAAGCATTCTGGCAGTCTCAGCCCCAGCACCAAGAGTAGTGGCAGAAAAAGTCTCAAGTTAAAGGAGGCAAAGCAGGAAGAACATAAGAATGGAAAAAGGAAAAATCTGAAAGTTCATTTTTCAACATAGTTTATGGTAATTGCATTATTTGGAATCTGGACGTCAGTGCCATATTTTGTCAGGTCTTGTTAAATATGAAGCAATTCTGGAAATTGAGGCATTTAATGATGCTGATGGTGCTAAAGTTTTATTAGGACATAAAGGAAGTTCTACTTCAATGTGATTACTTTTATTAGAAGAAACTAAGGAACATTTAGAGTTAGAAGTAGAGATTCCCACTGAATCAGATTACAAGAATAGTAAAGATATCAAAGAGCAAATTTAGTCCCTTCTCTATGAAATAGTAGACACACAACATGTAGAAGACAGCAATAGAGAGAAGATGCACCAGCAAGAAAATAGCCACTAGAAAGTGAAGACAGACAGCAAGGAAATTAGGTAGATGATAAATTTGAGTATCTGGAAATGAAAACATTTTATAAATAAACTGAAGATACATAACATACACAAGTGAGTTTGTAGGAATATAATCAGAAAGTGGAAGAGATGCTATATTAGAGAAAAATCTAGATTCCCCTGAAAGATTATGCCATACTATCATGATATAGCACACCAAGATAATAGTCAACAAGCATGTCAACTATAGAAAATATGACATAAATTTCAGATACTGCTAGAGAAGAATTAAACACAGGTTTAGAAAAAGTAGTTGTCTCTTTGATAAAGGGCAATAAAAACTGGTGTATTTCAGACTATGATGACTCCAGCTGATGGGAGTTATTATCAACAGTGATACTTACATTGATTGTACCTACCCTGATATTTTTGTCAGAAATTACTATATTAGTTTCAAACATACTACTTAAGAAATAAATTTTTATCTATTTGAAACATGTACATAATTAATTAGAAAAAAGTTAATGACATTTCAATAGAAGTTTGAAATGACCATAATGTAGTTATTTCAGTTATCAAAGTACAGGGGATTGGGTTGTAAAATGCCTCTTAGGACACAAGCAAAATATATGAATTGATGTATAGTACAAAACACGTCTTAGCACCTTAGACAGGTCATATCATAGCTGCTGTTATTAGACACCTGTTTAAATTTTAGGAAACTTACATAAATTACTAGCACTTAATTTCAGGCTTGTTTTGCCTCTGGCTAATTAAGCACTTTCATACCAGTTGCTTTAGTATTGCACTATGTTTTTGAAATAAAAGTGAATAAAGCCTCCCCATTAAGATTGATTTATGATATATAAAATGTTCTCATGGCCTACTTGTTTACAAAGAATAAACCATTTTCACTGGAATTTACCTATTTATGGCTCAGAAATAGTTTTATGTTGAAAATATTTATATTTTAGAAAAGGAGATAAACACAACTTCATTCATGAAATAAATATTAGCCTAAAGAATAATAAGAAATGTTTTCCTTTAAGTGTCAGAGGCAGCATTTGATCAAGTTAACACAGTTTAATTTATTTATTTATTTATTTATTTATTTATTTAAGACAGAGTCTTGCTCTGTCACCCCAGCGGAGTGCAGCGGCATGATCTTAGCTCACTGCAACCTCTACCTCCTGGGTTCAAGCAATTCTCATGCTTCATCCTCCCGAGTAGCTGGGATTACAGGCATGTGCCACCACGCCTGGCTATGTTTTGTATTTTTAGCAGAGACAGGTTTCACCATGTTGGCCTGGTTGTTCTCGAACTCCTGACCTCAAGTGATCCACCCGCCTCGGCCTCCCAAAGTGCTGGGTTTACAGGTGTGAGCCACCATGCCAGGCCAACACTATTTTAAAATAAGGTAATTGTTTTGGTTACTAGGGTCAAAATCAAAGAGATTATATATTTTTATTATATCTACCTCAAATTGCAATCTAATAATTTCTGCATATGTAGAATAACCCAAAATAATAAGCTGGTAAAATAAGCTGTAATTTTTCTGATGCAATATTACTGATAGATACAGCACTGATATTGTTGATACAACATTGACATTAATTTGAATAATGTTCATTTATATTCTCAAATTTAGAACACTATTACTTTCATAAAACAATACTTTTATAAGAAGCTTAGGAGTAAAAGAACTGATAAATAAATAAAGTAAGTTTTACTGGATTTTTTGGTACACAATCATTCATAAAATTCTGGGAATTGAGGATCAATTCTGCTGTAGTCAATTTGAATATTTTGTAATTCCATATCTGAATAAATAAAGCTTGTATTTAATTATGTGGTAAAATGAAAATAGTTAATAAATTTTTTAAATGTAAAATTTCTTCATTTAATATTATTTGAAAGCAACAAAATACAGAAGAATTTAAAAAGTAAAGACCTAATCAACCAGAGAAAAACTGCATAAAACCAAAATCAATGATAATATCTTAAAAGCGGCCAGAGGTGGGGGAAAAAAACACAGATTACCTTCAAAGGCTTGACAGATCTTTTCTACATAGCAATGATAGATTACAACAGGAGTTCTTATATATATTTATTTATTACATATTTAACATATAATATATTCATATTTAATATGTTGTATATAGTTTATATATTATATATTGTATATGTGATATATATTTTTATATATTATATTATGTGCTATACATTATATTTATATATTTGATACATTATATTTATATATTTGATATATATTATATGCTTATATTTATATATAATATTTACTACATTTACATTTGACATAGTATATACTAATATTTATGTATAATATATACTACATATTATATAAATATATTATATAATGTGTGTACATCACATATATCATATAATACATTATATATACATATTATTATATAATATATTGCATATATTATATTAAATATTATATATAAATATGTTATGTTATATGATATAGATTATAATGTATAATTATAACTAATATGATATCTAACATATATAATATAATATATAATCATATTATATATTATATATTATAATATATAATTAGATATTATACTATATTACTATATATTATTACATAATATATGATTATATATAAAAAGCATAAGCTAATATATAATATGTAAAATATAAATATATATTTATAATATGTAAACCATCAGCTAATATATATAATAAATATATATGTAATATCTTTATTATATATAAAATGTATATTATATATTTATTATATATGATGTTATATTATCATATATATGATAAAATGTTCTATTATATTATATGTGTATATGTTATATATATATATTATATTATGTTATATATGTATTGAAATGGTGTCATTGTCTGGGGTAATACCCGAGATTTGTTGTCCCTTGGCCATGGAAAACTAAGACACATCAGACTGTGGATAAGAGTGGTTGTTTAACAGGCAAAAGAAAGAAAAGAGCTCTCTGCACAGAGAGGCTTCCTGGAGAAAATGGGTTCCTGCTTCTGCAGTGAAATGCAGGTTTTGTAGATGAGACTGAGGAGGTGGTGTCTAATTTACATAGGGCACACAAGATTGACTGAACCAGATGTTCCATTTGCATAGCACATGAGAATCTGGCCAATGCCACCCTAATCTTATTATGTAGATGGGTTCTCTACCTGGCTGGCACCATGTTGCTTACTTTTTACTGTACACGTGGTGACAAAGAAAAGGGAAGATGGAGCCTCCATGTTGAATATACCTGGCTTCCTGGTAGCCCTTCCCTATTGGCACAGCTGTCAGCATTCACACATGCAAACTTCGAGCATACTTATCTATGTTTACAGCTAGATTTTTCAGGCTGATCTTTGTTAGAAAAGAAATGATTTGGGTGCTGCTTTTTGTTAAAAGGGAAACCCTGTCAAGGATTCTGTTGCACTTACTATCTACTTAAATAATTTGTTTCTAGCTCCTGTATCAACATGACAGTGTATTTTGCTACACTGACAGAGAGACCACCATTAAATTAAAAATATTGCAAACCACACAAAATCCACAAAATGAATAGAAGAAAATAAAATAAATCTATTCAAAATTCAACCAACCGTAATAAAACAAAATACAAGAATCAAAACAATCTAGTGAAGACAATTACTCCCACGTCAACTATTTAGCAGTAAATGAAACATTGTACTACACCACTACAAATTGAATTACATATTTTCAAATAAGCCTTTGAGATTATAAAGGTCTGCCTTCATACAGAAATCCAAAAATTAAATACAAATCAGTGACAAAAAATAATACAAAATTATCTTGGAATAATAATTAAATGGTGCAAAGGAAAAACAGAGAAAACCAAAATTTAACAAAGGACGTTGAATAAAAAATGAAAAAATATTCAAGAGAATGAACATGAGATAAAGAATATTTAAAAGTGTTAAAGAGAAGATGGTTGAAGTGGAAGATAAACAAAGAAGAAACAATATACATATAATTGGAGGTCCTGAAGAGCAAAAACCAAGCAGTGGAACAGAATGTGTTAAACCATGGTTTCTGGACCTTGGCATGGTCAGAATTTTGGGCTTCATAAATCTTTGCTGAAGGAGACTATCCTGTGCAATGTAGGATGATTAGCAACACCCCTGACCTCACCCACTAGATGCCAGTAGCACCCTTCCCAGGTGAAAAGCTACAAAATGAACAGCAAAGTAAATCAAAAGAAAGCACGAAAAGAAAAATAAAAAAATGATAAGCAAAGTAATGAATAAATTAGAGAAGATGAAGTAACGGGCACTCAAGCTACTTTTCTGCTTTAGCCAAATAGAAAACTGGACAAATTATAAAAAATAATCATTTCCAGACACTGGCCAAAGGCACTGAAGGACTGGGATCTCTAAAGAAGGGAAACTAACGATGTGAGCCCTGCAATTACACCAGCTTGCTTCCTGGGGGCAGTTTTTAAGCCACAGCCCAGGAAAGTGAAACCCAAACATAGCTTTACATTCTTGTTGGATTGAGGAGAGAGATTAGAGTTCTGGGAAGCCAAGGAATGTAGAATTTGCAGGGTAAGATAGCAGAGAAGAGGGAGTTATCCGGATGTGGAGGAGCAGTGGGGCTTTGGAGATATGCAAAAGAGATCGCTCAGGTCTTTGGGTACTGATCTATGTAAACATAAAAGGAACTACTAAAGCTAAGGAAAAACCCACTGTAAAGAAGTGGGCATAAGCTTTCCCTGAAACTCAAACAGGACAGGGAACGTTTTATGTCCCCACAAACTAGAATAAAAAACTTTATAGTACATAGGTACATCAGGTCAGATCTTCAAAGGGATATTACCTTTGTAGTCAGGCTTAACTAGTCCAACTTTAAAGATTCCTCTGGACTTTCTCAAATTTTAAAAGCATCCGACTGATTCCAATTACTTTATTTGCTGGAAAAAAAATCCAAAACTTAAGAATAAAACAACTTCCAGCAACCAACCAACAACTTAAAGTCCAAAATAAGTTCTCAGTTTAAAAAATAAAATGAAACTACTTTTCATGCAAAGAAGCAGAAAAATATCACCCAGGGGAAAAATCTGTCAATAATAACAGATCTATGAGTGACAGACATAGAAGACCAAGCAGCTATTGTATTCAAACAGCTATTACAAATCTGTTTCATATGTTCAGATCATAGAGACAGCCACAACCATGATGAGAACAAGGGATGATATGAAGATACAAACGGACTTCTAGACATGAAAAATACATCTGAAGTAAAAGATAAGTTGGTAGTTTTAAGAACAGAGCAGATCTTGCATGATGAAAGATCAGTGAAAATAAAGACATAGCAACATAAACTATTCAAAACGAAAAGAGAGAAAATAAAGCTTCAAAATAAAGCATCAGTTACTGCGGAACGGTATCTAGTAAGAAGTCTAACATACATGCATTGGGGTCTCAGAATAAAAGTGAGCTGAGAAAAAAGATTGGTGACACAATGACACAAATTGTTCCTAACTGATCAAAATTATAAATCTGAAGACACAAGATGTTCAACAAATTTCAATCTGTATAAATTTTTTTTAAAATTATGCCCAAAACACATCAATGACATTGCTGAAAAACAGTGATAAAGATAAAATCTTAAAAACAGCTAGAGAAAAGATATTTACAAAGAAACACATGTAAGAATGACTTCTGGCTTTTTGTCAGTTTCTGCAAGCCAGAAGAAAATAAATGCACATATTTTAAGTAACAAAAACAAATAACAATAAACTAAGAAGATATTAACTAACAATAAAAATATTTAAAATTAGAGGCAAAATAGAAACATTTTTTGTAAAAACAAAGCTGAAAGAATGCACTGCCAGTAGACCTGAAGGAATTTCTTTAGACAGAAGAAAATAATGTATATGAAAATTCAAGTTCACACAATGAAATAAATTGAGGTGAACAGAAATGGTAAACATATGGGTAAATATAAAATACTATTTTTCATCTTGGAGTTCTTTACAGTATCACTGTTTAAAGCAACAATAATAGTAATGTGTTTCAGGTTTATAGCATATAAAAAAGTAAATTGTGTGACAGTAGTATAAGGGACAGCAAAGAAAATGAGCATATGCTGTTTAAATTTTTTTACACTATTTTTGAAATGATATATTATTATCCTGTAAACCCTGGAGTTAAAGATGTATATTGTAAAATATGTATACTATAAATCCTAGAGAGACAGCAACAACAGAAAAGAAAAAAATTTTTAAAGCATATGTAGTAAGTTAATAGGAGATAAAATGAAATTTTAAAATTAAAAAAATTCTTAACTAACTCAAAAGAAAGTAACACAAAAGAAAAATAGAGAAGATAAAACAAATAGAAAACAAAAACAGATTTAAACTAAATTATGTCCACTGTTAAATAGAATTTAATATAATGAACTTAAAAGTCACAAATTGTTAGTTGGATAAAAAATTAAGACCCAGCCGGGTGAGGTGGCTCACGCCTGTAATTCCAGCACTTTGGGACGCTGAGGAGAGTGGACCACCTGAGGTCAGGAGTTCAAGACCAACCTGACTAACATGGTAAAACCCTGTCTCTATTAAAAATACAAAAATTAGCCGGATGTAGTGGCGGGCGCCTGTAATCCCAGCTACTTGGGAGGCTGAGGCAGTAGAGACACTTGAACCTGGGAGGCAGAGGTTGCAGTGAGCCGAGATCACACCATTGTGCTACAGCCTGGGCAACAGAGTGAGATTCTGTCTCCAAAAAAAAAAAAAAAAATTAGTACCCTACTTATACGCTGACCACAAGAAAACCATGTGAAATATAAATAGAAGTTTAAGGTAAGATGTGAAAATATATATCATTCAAAAACTAGTCAAATTAATGCAGAATTAGCTGTAATAACATCAGACAAAGTGAATTTCAGAACAAGAAATTTTACTAAGGACTCAGATATTTTACAATAGGAAAGGGATCAATCCATAAAATGTACATAAAATGTATTTAAAATGTATATCACCTAATAACAGAACTCAAAATACATGAAGCACAAACTTATAGGACTGAAAGGCAGATTTACCGTTAGTAGATATCTCAAAACTCTGTCCTCAGTAGTTTATAGGAAAGGTAGACAGAAAAAAAGGGGGATATGGAACATATGAAAACTATTATGAACTAACTTGACCTAATTGATATAAATACCAATGGCACACAGAACATTCACTGAGATAAATTATATTCTGGAATATCAAACACATCAAATGAAATCAAAAAATTGAAATTATAGAAAGATGTTCTCGGATTGCAACAAAATTAAACTAGAACTCAATAATAAAAGATGCCTGGTAAAAAATAAAAACATATGTGCACATTTAGAATATAGTGATATACAAATGGTTAATACATCATTATAAAGTTAGGTTTATTCAGGTATGTAAGTTTTGCTTAACTTTAGAAAATTGATAAATGTGATTCATTGTGTTAACTGATTAAAATACAAGTCATCTACTCATCTCAAGATATGAAAAAAAATTGACAAAAAGGATTGACATTATCCTTAAATTAATAATGGATGTCTGTGAAAAGGTAAATCAAACTTAATATTAAATAGTGAAATGTTGAAAGCATCCCCTGTGTAAGCAATCTCAAGCAAGTATGTCCTCTTTCACGTTCTCTTTTCTCCTCCTCCTTTCACCTAAGCACTGAAGTTCTTAGCCAGCCCAGTTAAGCAAACATAAAAATGGTATACAAATTGGAGGTGACTAAACAACCCTAATATTCTTGTCAATATGATTATGTATGTAAACATCCAAATAAATATGCAATTAAATTACTTTTCATTTTATTTTACCTTATTTTATTTTTAAGACAGAGTCCTGCTTTGTCACCCAGGCTGGAGTGTAGTGGCGTGATCACAGCTCACTGCAGCCTCAACCTCCCAAGCTCAAGCCATCATCCTGCCTCAGCCCCCCAGGTATCTGGGACTACAGGCATGCACCACCATGCCCAGCTAATTTTTGTATTTTTGTGGAGACAGGGTCTCCCCATGTTGCCCAAGCTGGTCTGGAACTCCTGAGCTTAGGCAGTCTGCCACTGACTCCAGCCTATACAGTTAAACTACTATGATAAAAAGAAACTGAATAAGGTTTTTAGAAATGAACATTATTGGAAATGCATTTATTGTATTCTAAATATCAGCAAGAAACAGAAAGTTTTAAAACATTTAACCATTGTATCAAAAACTATTCACTGTTGAGTAATAAATTTATGAAACTGTATTCAAGAATCCTATGGCAAAACTAGTAAATGTATTGAGAGAAAATCTAAAACCTAAATAGACAGGGCAATATGCTATTATCTGGAATGGAAACTTAAAATGTTTAAAAAGTTTAGAGCTTCCTAAGTTGATTTATAGTTTCAGTGCCATCTAAATCAATATTCTAACTATATTTTTGTGGGATTTTGAAAAGTTCTTTAAAAAAATGGATACATAAAAACAAAGAATCAGAAATAACTAAGACTATTCTTAAGTAGAGGGGAAAAATTCAATATCCTTTTATAGCAACTTGCTGGCCTCATAAGGGTCACAATGTTTTAATGGAAAAACTTCTGTTTTCAAGAAAAAAATGTTCACTCGCTAGGATGTAACCTGAGTGTTGAAGCAATTCTCCTCTTGCCTGAGAGAATAAAAACTACTCAAAGCTTTTCCTGACCTACAATTAAAAGAAACAATAAGAGGCGTTCTCAAGCTTGCAGGATAATACAGATTCTGGGTCCCACATTTTCCCTAATGGCCTCACCATTGGGTTAGCTTACTAGAAACTCAGTATCAGAGCCTTTACCTTGAGAAGACAGCCATGAGGAGGCTTTTCTGCAAATGAAAATAGCCTTACAACAGCCTTCAGTTTTATGACTTCCAAATTATGCTAAACCTTTCACGCTGTTCATTCATGAAAATAACATTCAGGCATTAGGAGTACTTACCCAAAAACATGAAGGAAAATAGAGGCCAATCACATATTATAGCCTGTGATTGGACTCAGTAGCTAAGCCATATTTTAATTGTTTAAAAGCGGTAGCAGCAGCAGCCAAATTGGTAGTTTCATCTGAGCCGCTTTTAAGACACGACCTTTATTTGCAAGTCTTGCACACTGCAAAAAAAAATATATTAAATTCCAGACAAACTCTGTATTTGTCAGCAAATAGATTAACACCTTCTGGAATTCTTCTCTTGTCTCCTAATTTCTATCTGAAATGTTGCAACTTACTTAACCCTGCTACTCTACTACCCCTGCCTCATGCAGGTGAAGACCACAATTGTGAGTGTAGTGTTAGAAATAGTGGCTCCTCATGTTCATATGTGAGATAATCCCTTTGATAATCCTGAGTTGATACTTTTTGTTTTTTGGTCTTATTATAAAACTCAGAAGGAAAATACCAGGCAGGGTATGATCTTATCACCTGAAATGAGTTAATACAGAAGAGAACTCTCACCTAATATAAGTCAGTTTCTCCTGAGCTTGTACATATAGCTAAAGACATGTCAGTAAATATTTATACAGATAGTTACATGCTTTTGGAGTAGTCCGTGATTTTGGCGTGTTATAGAAACAAAGAGGGGGACCCCCCATTAAAAACAGTCTCCAAGCAAATGCACTCCTTTCTGCTAGCCTCTTATCATCACGAACTGCCATTATTAAGATTGAAGATCATAGCTGTAAAACTAAACCTGAGTATCAAAGGAATTCCCTGGCAGATTTCTATGCTAAATCAACTAGTGCTGAAACTGTTAGGATACACAATTTGAATAAACTCTGTAAGATTGATCCAAGTCAACTCCCCTATGTTGACCTATTTAACAAACTGTGAAATGTGCCTGATTTGGAAAAACAAAATTGGTATCCGAATGCCTGTAAATTCAGTGTTAAACCTGAACTCAAAGAGCTCTCAGATGGGTGCCTAATACTTCCTTCTGGTACTTCCTGAGTCCTTGAAGCTTCCACTGTTAAAAGTTTTGCACTCCACAAAGCTCTTCACTCTACAACTCATCATGTAACAGACAGCATGATCCAAATTATGAACAAATACTGGTGGGGTAACTGTTATCAAATTGATAAAATGGTTCATAACCAATGTTTGGTTTGTCAAACTCATAATCCTGTGAAAACAATAAAAACTTCAGGTGGTGTATTTTCACTACCGGACTTTATTCAATTGTCATTTTCAGTGGGATATCTGTATATTTACATGTTATCTGGCTGGATAGAAGCTTTCCCATCTGAGAAAGCTGATCTTATGATGGTAGCTAAGAAGTTATTTAAAAAGTATTTCCTTTATGGAGCATCCCTGGAGAAATCTCCAGCAACAGAGGAACCTATTTCACTGGACAATTTAGAAACAGTCGAATAAGCTTATGCACCCAATGGCATCACCATTGTCCCTATTACCCTTAGTCTTCTGGAAAGGTCAAAAGACAAATGGCATTTTACAGCTGAAATTGGCAAAGTTAACTGAATCAATTTGATTGCGCTGGCTTTAATGGTAATCATTACTGAGGTAATATTACCTCGGCTTTAATGGTAATCAAATCCACCCCCAGTGGAAAACATCGATTGACTCCTTATGGAATAGTTCCTGGAAGGCATATGCCCTTAATAATAGAACCTCGTGTATCTTCCATTATCCTAAACTCTGATATGACTAAATACTGCAGGCTTTAATGCATTATGTCATAGTGTATTTTCACCAGGTGAAGGAGATCTTCCATGACCCACAGACTGAGAACAACCAGACCTTTCAAAACCCAGAACCTGGAGATTGGATCTTCTGAAAATGACATCAGAGACCTCATTGAACCCATGGTCCTCTCCCTATTGGAAGAGACCATACCAAGTTCTACTTGCCACCCACGCTGCAGTAAAATATCAAAGGCTTAAACCTTGGGTTCACATGTTAAAGCTCAAAAGGGCCCCTCCAAGCTCCTGGAAATGTATACCTGTTTGAGAATTGAAGGTAAACCTGACCAGGAAAACTTTTCCCCAGAAGCAGATGCCATCCTAGACATTAACAGCTATCCTAACGCCATAGATCAAGACTTTTCTGACATCATGAAAACTGAAAACCTTATCCTTTTTCCTCTTTTTCCTATTTCTGCCATCCTAATCGTTCCCTTTCTTTACAGGAAAAGCCATGGACTGTAATTTGTGGATGGCTTTAGCAAAGGCTTATGCTCCAGTAAGAAACCAAAACAATTGTTAAATTTGTAGCTAATGCCCCCAAATCAGGAAACGATTCCACTAATGCCACTGCCTGTCTGTGTTACCAGTGACAGTCATGCTAAAACCTCAAAGGAGGAGTAGAAATTGATATTCTAGACATGACTGCTACTTGCTTTCCTATGCTTATTGAAAACAATACTCTGACCTTTCCAGTTAATAACAGAATGGCTACTAAATATAAAAAACCTATCAAAGTGATGCCTACAAAAGGTATGTTGTGCTTCCGAGCATTGAATACTCAAGATTTGGGGATCACTTATGAGGGTACAAGTAATTGCTTGTATGATGTCGCTGGACTAAATCCAGTAAGGTCTCGTTCCACTGAATACTGTTATGCATCCTTCCAGCATGCTATAAAGGGACCACACACAGAAAATAAATTACTCGCTGAACCTGGCTCACGCGCTATGTAGGCCTATGGGTGAAAAAGTGTAACTGGCCTCTGCTCACATGCCACCAGGTGGCCCTCTTTTCCAGCTCCTGGGGGCCTGCAGACACATTGGGTCTGAGGAGAATTTGTTTACTGTGTTCTGCTTGCTGGTTCATATCTTGCTAATGGGCCTGGCTCACTCCTGTCTTCCAAATAGCTTTCTCTGAAAGTTTCCATAATACCTTCCATAATCAAAGGCCAAAGTGATCAATAACCAAAATTCATACTAACCTTAAAGTGGAATGAAGATAAGTTAATTTCCACTGAGAAAAGTTTCTAACGAGGTTCCTGGATGCTCACTCTTGTTGGTAGATGGTGCCAGTTGTATGGAACTTGAAGGTAATCCATAAATTGGGAAAAAATCTTGAAATTTGTAGCCAATTATATTTTCCAGGGTTTAAATGGGAAGAAGCCACTCTCCTGAAGGGGGATAAAAAAAGGTCATGTTCAGCAAAAACACTTAATGGAACACTGTACGGTGTTAGATCTCTTCTTGGCTTATGTTGGGGTCTTGCCCATGGTGCTAAACAGAACTGAATGCTGCACTTACCTTCACGCTGGTTTTACTACTACAGAAAGCTTAATTTAAAAGGTAGCCAACACTGCAATTCCTGTAAACACTGCCACCGAATGCACCAGGGACATTTCTCAGGGGAAAGAAACACATGACGTGATTATGGGAGTAGCTAACAGCTGGTTTGCAGGCGTCCTAAATGGTGGATGGCAAGGCTGGCTAGTCTAAGATTTTTCTCATCTCTGTGTTTCATTTAATCATGTACAGATTACTATGATTGATATTACCAGGCTAACTACAAAAATAGATATCTCTTTAAATCAGACCATTTTACAGCACACTATGGTTCTTAATTGCCACTCCACCCCAAACACAGACTATGACCACTAAGACTTAAATACTGATGAATTGTCTTTATTGCCTGAATTTTGAATTGTTTGTTCTGATGAGTTTGGTTCGCAGAGATTCCTGTTGCATAGTGTACTTCACTTTCTTTATATTATCCTCCCAATAGCCATTATAGTGGCCTCCCTCCTGTGTTATATCCCTTAAGAATTATAAATGCTCATACGTAGCCATCCTTTGTACATCAAAAGATCTCATTACAGTTAGAGTAAAAAAACACGAGGAAAGCATAATCATCCAACTAATTTCATATAATGAATTGTGAATTTATATAGAGATCAAACAAGTCCATTATGAAGGTGACAGAAAGGAGTATCAGTGCCAAGGTTTTGGTCAATCTCTTAAAATTGAGTGGCTGAGCAAAAGAGAATAATTGTTAAATTAAATTACATTTGGCCTGAAACTAACCTACGTATGTAATAAACTGTAATCTAAATTATAGGTGAACCAACTGCAACCTAACAACTTGTGAGTAAATTCTTAGAACATGCAGCTGTGTTGCAGCCAATCATAGCAGCCAAGCTTTCAGCCAATCACAGGCTGCAAACCAGCAAAAGATGTTAAACTAAGGCAAACACAGAACTGTAACCATGTAGACTATTTTTGTATGTCACTTCTGTTTTCTGGCTATAAATATTCCCTGCCCACATTTTGTAGTGGAACTCTCTGAACTGCTTTTGTGTTGAGTGCTACCTTTTTCACGAATCTTTTTTTTCTGCCCAGTTAAACACTGTTCAATTTAATTAAAGGTTCTTTTTTTTTTCTTTTCTTTTTTTGAGATGGCGTCTCACTGTGTCACCCAGGCTGGAGTGCAATGGCATGATCTCAGCTCACTGCAACCTCCGCCTCCCAGGTTCAAGCAATTCTCCTGCCTCAGCCTCCTGAGTAGCTAGGATTACAGGCACTTGCCATCATGCCCAGCTAATTTTTGTTTTTTTTCTTGTAGAGATGGAGTTTCACCATGTTGACCAGGCTGGCCTTGAACTCCTGACCTCAGATGATCCTCCGGCCTCGACCTCCCAAAGTGCTGGGATTACAGGCATGAGCCACCACACCTGGCTTTTCTTTTTAATAGTAACATTCACAGGTTCCAGGGATTTGAACATGGATATATTTGGAGGTTAAATATGAATATATTAAAATGATTTAAAAAATTCAAGTAAAGGAAATGAGGGAAATTTATTGCCAACAAGTGTACATTAAAAGAAATCCTGCCTAATAAAATATTACTTTTTTCCTTTTAAGGTTCATATGATTGTTTTAAATAAAAGTATAACATTGTCCTCTGAATGTATGTATGACAACTGTAGAGTAAGAGATGAAAGCATGTGATAAACTAATATAAGAGCCCTCAGAAATAACGCCGCATATCTACAACTATCTGATCTTTGACAAACCTGAGAAAAACAAGCAATGGGGAAAGGATTCCCTATTTAATAAATGGTGCTGGGAAAACTGGCTAGCCATATGTAGAAAGCTGAAACTGGATCCCTTCCTTACACCTTATACAAAAATCAATTCAAGATGGATTAAAGACTTAAACGTTAGACCTAAAACCATAAAAACCCTAGAAGAAAACCTAGGCATTACCATTCAGGACATAGGCATGGGCAAGGACTTCATGTCTAAAACACTAAAAGCAATGGCAACAAAAGCCAAAATTGACAAATGGGATCTAATTAAACTAAAGAGCTTCTGCACAGCAAAAGAAACTACCATCAGAGTGAACAGGCAACCTACAAAATGGGAGAAAATTTTTGCAACCTACTCATCTGACAAAGGGCTAATATCCAGAATCTACAATGAACTCAAACAAATTTACAAGAAAAAAACAAACAGCCCCATCAAAAAGTGGGCAAAGGACATGAACAGACACTTCTCAAAAGAAGACATTTATGCAGCCAAAAAACACATGAAAAAATGCTCATCATCACTGGCCATCAGACAAATGCAAATCAAAACCACAATGAGATACCATTTCACACTAGTTAGAATGGCAATCATTAAAAAGTCAGGAAACAACAGGTGCTGGAGAGGATGTGGAGAAATAGGAACACTTTTACACTGTTGGTGGGACTGTAAACTAGTTCAACCATTGTGGAAGTCAGTGTGGCCATTCCTCAGGGATCTAGAACCAGAAATACCATTTGACCCAGCCATCCCATTACTGGGTATATACCTAAAGGGCTATAAATCATGCTGCTATAAAGACACATGCACACGTATGTTTATTGCGGCACTATTCACAATAGCAAAGACTTGGAACCAACCCAAATGTCCAACAATGATAGACTGGATTAAGAAAATGTGGCACATATACACCATGGAATACTATGCAGCCATAAAAAATGATGAGTTCATGTCCTTTGTAGGGACATGGATGAAATTGGAAATCATCATTCTCAGTAAACTATCGCAAGAACAAAAAACCAAACACCGCATATTCTCACTCATAGGTGGGAATTGAACAATGAGAACACATGGACACAGGAAGGGGTACATCACACTCTGGGGACTGTTGTGGGGTGGGGGAAGGGGGGAGGGATAGCATTAGGAGATATACCTAATGCTAGATGACGAGTTAGTGGTTGCAGCGCACCAGCATGTCACATGTATACATATGTAACTAACATGCACATTGTGCACATGTACCCTAAAACTTAAAGTATAATAATAAATAAATAAATAAATAAATAAATAAATAAAAAGCTTGAAATGTTTGTACACGTTATGTGAAGTGGTATGTTAACTCTAAGTGAACTGTGGAGAGTTAAGCATGCACATTGTTTCTTCTAGAGGAGTCACTAAAACGCAATGTAAAGAAGTATAGTTAAAGAGTCAATTGATGGCTTAAGTTGGAATTCTAAAAAAGCAAAAAGACAAATTTAAATAATTCCCAAAAAGACAGAAAAAAAAGGAACAGAGAAATAGAAACGTAGGGTTTTCCAGAAGCCAGTAATAAAATGTTACACTTAATCCAAATATATCATAATTACATTAATTACATTAATGGTAATATACTAAACATTCCAATTATAAGGCAGACATTGTCAGAATAGATAATAAAGCAAGACACAGCTATATGCTATTTACAAGAGGCATACTTCAGTTATATAAAGATACAAATCCATTGAAAGTAAGTCAATGAAAAATACATACAATGTAAATAAAATATAAATAGGCTGTAGTGGCTATTTTGAGATCAGATTAAATAGATTTCATGACAAAGGGTGTTACAAGACATAGAGAGAGTCATGTCTTAGTTACAAAACAGTTAATTTGTCAAGAAAACCTAACAATCATAAATGTATATGCATCTAGTAACAAAGGTTCAAAATACTTGAGGCAAAAATGAACAGACACAAAAAGGAGAGATACACAATTCCACTGATCACCTTAGGGGGTTTTAACATCTTTGTCTACTTGATAAAGCAACTAGACAAAACAACTAATAAATACATAGATCTAAACAATACATCAATCACCTTCAGGTAGTTGATATTTATGGAACACTACACCAAACACACACTAAATATTCTTTTCAAATGCACATGATATGTTTACTACTATAGATGATATGTGGGGACATAAAACAAGTCTTAATACATTTAAAAGTATTGAATTCATCCCACATATGTTCTCTAGCCAACACAGAGTCAAATTAAAAATCAATGACCATAAGACATCTAGGAAAATATCAAATATTTTAAAATTAAACACACTTCTAAATAACCTACAGGTCAAAGAAGAAGTCACAAGATAAATTAGAAAATATTTAAACTTAGTGCAAAATAAAACATATCAAATTTTGTATAATGCAGTTAAAACTCTGCTAAGAAGAAAAATTAGCCTTATTTGCTTACCTTAGAAGACAAGAAAGATCTAAAATTAATGATAATGTTTCAATATTAAGAAACTAGAGGCTGGGTGTGGTGGCTCACGCCTGTAATCCCAGGACTTTGGGAGGCCAAGTTGGGTGGATCACTTGAGGTCAGGAGCTCAAGATCAGCTTGGTCAACATGGTGAAACCCTGTCTCTACTAAAAACACAAAAATTAGCCCTGCATGGTGGCGGGTGCCTGTAATCCCAGCTACTTGGGAGGCTGAGGCACAAAAATCACTTGAACCCAGGAGGCGGAGATTGCAGTGAGCCGAGATCATGCCACTGCACTCCAGCCTAGGCGACAGAGTGAGATTAAGTATATATATATATATATATATACACACACACACACACACACACACACATATACACACATATATATACACATATATACACATATATATACACATATATACACATATATATACACATATATATACACATATATACACATATATATACACATATATACACATATATATACACACATATATATACACATATATACACATATATATACACATATATATACCCATATATACATATATACACATATATATACATATATATACACACATATATATACACATATATATACACATATACACACATATATATATACATATATATATAAAGAAACTAGAAAAATGATTAAATTAAACCAAAAATAAGAAGGAAGAAAATTTAAAAATGGTAAGAATGGAAATTGTGAAATGGAGGATAGATACACAAGAGAAAAAATTTGAAAAGTCAAAAGTTATTTCCTACCTAAGTGTCCATAGACAGATGAATGGATAAAGAAAATATGGTGTGTGTGTGTGTGTGTGTGTGTGTGTGTGTGTATAAATATATATTAGAATATTATTCAGCCATAAAAAGAAAAAGAACTTCCATTTACCACAACATGGATGAACCTGAAGGACATTGTAAGTGAAATAAACCAGGCACAGAAACAGAAATATTGCATGATTTTACTTATATGTGGAATCTTAAAAAGTCAAGCTTATAGAAGCAAAGAGTAGAATGGTGGTTTCCAGGAGCTGAGGGGTGGAGAAAATGAAAGATGTTGGTCAAAGGATATAAACTTTCAGTTTTAAGATGAATTAGTTCTGGAGATATATTATGGGGACTGTAGTTAATAATACTGTATTTTTTACTTGAAATGTGACAAGAGAAAGATTTTTGGCATCCTCACCACATATGCACATACACACACACAAATGATAACAATGGGTGATGACAGATGTGTTAATTCACTTGACTGTGGTAATCATTACACAATGTATACATGTATCGAATCATCATGTTGAACACCTTGAATATATACATTTCTTTTTCAATTAAATGTTTTTAAAAGCCCAAAGGTTTAGCTTTGAAAGAATTAATGAAAGTGATAGACCTATTGTTAGACTGATCGAGAAAAAGAGAATACACATCATCAATATAAAAAATTACAGATCCTAAAAAAAGATAAAGGAATATTACAAACTTCTGTGTGCCAATTAATTTGGCACTTAGATGAAATGAATAAAATCTTTAAAAATCAAAGTTAACAAAATTAATACTAAGTAAAATAGAATATGATAAATGCATATATATCTGTTTTTTTTTTAATCAGAAGACTTACCACAGTGAAAACTTCAGGCCTAGATAGTTTTACTGATAAATGTTATCAAACATTCTAGGAAACAACCACCAATCTTATATAGGTTATTTCAGAAATAAAAGAGGGAGTACTTCTCAAACAATTTTAGGAGTCTAACTTTACCTCATATAACAAAATCAGACAAAGATTTTACAAAAAATAGAGGAAATCTTAGATTAATATTTCTCACATACACAAACACAAACATCTTTACAAAGCAAATAAAAAACAATAATTTATAGAAAAGATATATCCTAATCAAGTAAAGTTTATCTCAGGAATGCAAATATTCACTTACCATTAAAATTAATCAATGTAATTTAACATACTAATGGAGTAAAAGAGAAAATTAATCATTTTGCTAGATATAGCTTTGAAGAATTTTTAAAAATATATAATGAACACGTATATTGAACACAGAGTAGAAAAAGGTGAAAAAGGAAATCACAAGCAGAAAAGTTAATTCTTCATAGGAATAGAAAAAATACTAAATTTATATGAAAATGCAAAAGACCTGGAATAGCCAAAGCAATGCTGTGCAAAACAAGAAAGCTAGAGACATCACACTTCCTGACTTCAAAATATTCCACAAAACTATAGTAATCAAACCAGCATGGTACTAGCATAAAAACAGACACAGAGACCAATGGAACAGATTAGGGAGCCCACATATAAATCCACACAATTACAACCAACTCATCTTCAACAAAGGCTCCAGGAATACACAATGGGAAAAGGACAGTCTTTTCCATAAATGGTGCTGGGGAAACTGTATAGCCACCAGCACAAGAATGAAACTAGACCCCTACCTCTCACCATACACAAAAATCAAGTCAAAATGGGTTAAAGATTTAAGTCTAAGATCTGAAGCTCTGAAACTATTAGAAAAAAGTCATGAGGAAATGATCTAGGACATTGGTCTGGTCAAATATATTTTGTGTAAGACCTCAAAAGCACAGTCAACAAAAGTAAAAATAGAAAAAATGGGACTACATCAAGCTAAAAAGCTCTGTACAGAAAAAAAAAGTGAAGAGACTACTCACAGAATGGGGAAAATATTTGCAAACTACCCATCTGACAAAGGATTAATAACCAGAATGTATATAAAGACCTCAAACAACTCTATAGCTATGTATATATATGTATGTCTTATTTTTATGTGTTATTCTGAAAAACGTCTATTCATATCTTTTTCTATATATATATATATATACTGATTAAAAATGGGCAAAAGATATGAGTAGACATTTTTCAGAATAAGACATAAAAATAGTCAACAGGTATATGAAAAAATGCTCAATATCACCAATCAGAGAAATGCACATCAAAACCACAGTGAGATATCATCTCACACCAGTTAAAATGTCTTTTATCAAAAAGTCAGGGAATAACAAATGCTGGTGAGGATATGGAGGAAGGAAAACTTTCATTCACTGTTGGTAGAAATGTAAATTAGTACAGTCACTATGGAAAACAGTATGGAGGTTCCTCAAAAACCTAAAACTAGAAATACTATATGATTCAGTGATTCCACTACTGAGTATATATCCAAAAGAAAGGAAAACAATATATCGAAAAGATATCTGCATTCCCATGTTTATTGCAGCCCTATTCGCATTAGGCAAAATGTGGAATCAACATAAGTGTCCATCAGTGGATGAATGGGTAGAGAAAATGTGGTATATATACACAATGGAATATTATTAAGCCATAAAAGAGAATAAAATTCTGTCATTTGTACCAACGTGGATGGAACTGGAGGTCATTATGTTAAATAAAATAAGCCAACTACATAAGACAAATATTGCTTGTTCACACTGATATACGAAAGCTAAAATGGTGGATCTCATGAAGATAGAGAGTAGATTGGTGGTTACCAGAGGCCAAGAAAGGGAGTGTGGAGGGAGGATAAGGAGAGGCTGATTAATGGGTACAAATATACAGTTAGATTCAATAATTAAGACCATGTTTGATATATCAGTGGGGTGACTATAGTTAACAATAATCTGTTGCACATTTCAAAATAAATAGAGGAGAAAAATTCATATGTTTCTAGCACAAAGAAAAGATAGATATTTAAGGTGATGGATATTCCAATTACTCTGATTTGATTTTTACAGATTATATGAATGTATCAAATTATCACATTTACCCCCAAAATTTGTATATCTATTATGTATCAATACAAATACATTTTAAAACTATGAAAGCCGATAGTGGTAGAATAGAAGGTACATGCGGAAGTTAGAGATAAAGCAATGCAAAAATTAAGAGACATGAACCACAGAATGAAAAGTCCAGTATTTGTCTGATAGTAATTCTAAAAGAAGAGAATAATTATAATTCATGGACAGTAAATAGATAAAGATAGAGAACTATTTGATGAAAGTTATGAATTGTTAAATCGAAGAAGTATAACAAGTCCTGAGCCAGATAAACAAAAATATAGCCTCTCCTAAACAAATTACATTGAATCTGTAAAAAATCTCAAGACAATGATAATGTCCTAAATATAAGCAGAGGGGAGGAAAACAGAATACCTGCAAACAATTAAACTCAGTGTATTTTAAAAGCAACAATACATCCTCGAAGTCAATGAGGTAAATTTGTTACTAAAAAAATCATCACTAGAATTGAACTAGAACTCTGAACCCAAGTTAGAACACTTTTCAAAACTGAGGGTGAATTAAAACATAGAACTAGAAAAAGTTTACATTTGTGAAAGAATTAACAAAAATTGAACTTCAGCAGAAAGAAAATGGAACCAAGTACCTAGGGGAGAAAAAACAAGTACAATAAAAAAGCAAAAGGAGGCAACAAATTGGTAAAATATCATTGAAAATTGAAATAAATAGTAACCATTAAAGATAATAATGATTATAACAATAATTAGTTAATTAATTTTGATAAAATAACTGGAAGATAAAGTATCTCATAACTAATCTCTTTATGTTATTAGAAGAAAAGACAATACGTTCTAAAATTTTTTTAATTACATTGTGCTAAAACTAAGTATTTGCTGATGTTTCCAATTCAAGAGCTTTCTCTTAAGTTCTCACTTTCCATTAACTTTAATATACATTTTGTGAATTTAATGATTATGACAATAAAACAATGCAAATTCCTTAAACAGGAGAGGAAAAGTAGGGAAGCATTAAATCTGGTCAATCCAAGAGGTGCGTGAAAGAAGAAATATGAAGAAAAAGGAATCCAAAAGAAAACATGATGACTAGAAAACAATAACAATTTCCATTTATATTTGGTCTCTTTTAACTTATTTTTCATGCCTTCTAGGATGAAGGTGAACCACTTGTTCAAACAAACAAGAAATGTAATGCAAAGGACTCATTTTACAAGTCCTCTACACAAAAGTAAGCAGTTTTCCCAGTGGAATTTTGATTTTGGAATATATTTCTTTTTCCTTTATGACACATCCTCTTTATGTCTATAATATCCTGGATCTTATGAGTGACACAGAGGACATCAAACGCAGACATTTACTGATATTGATTGCTAAAATAAACATTGAAGGAAGAGTCTTAAGGCACACCTATGCTTGATGGAAGAATAAAACCATAACAGAAAGTAAATGGTCAAAGAGGGAGTGGGGGGATAAGAGTACAGCATCCTAGAAAGCCAAGACAGAGAAAGTTTAAATGGGAGAATTCATTGACTCAGTCAACAAATATATTGGGTACCTATTACGAATCTATGTTTTAGACTATGAGCTACATCAGTGAGTAGGCAAAGATCTCTGCTCTCAAATCTCTCATTATAAAGGTGTATTGATCTCTTTTCACTCTGCTAATAAAGACATACCAGAGACTAGGCAATTTATAAAGGAAAGAGGTTTAATTGACACAGTTCCACATGGCTGGGGAGGCCTCACAATCATGGCAGAAGGCAAGGAGGAGCAAAGTTACGTCTTATATGGTGGCAATCAAGAGAGCCTGTGCAGGGCAGCTCCCATTTATAAAACCATCAGATCTCGTGAGACTTATTCACTACCACGAGAACGGTATGGGGGAAACTGCCCCCATGATTCAATTATCTCCACCTGGCCCCACCCTACACAGGTAAGGATTATTACAATTCAAGGTCAGATTTGGGTGGGGACACAGCCAAACCATATCAAAAGGGAAACAGACAATAATAAACAAACACACTTAGAAAGTAAATAGATCATATCTTAAAAAGTGACAGATAAGTCTATTAAGAAAAGGTAGAACAGGACAAGATCAGGAGTCCCACATGTACAGGGTAGCAGGCTTCAGTAATAAGTAGGAGGTGTGGGGAGGCCTCCCCAGGTGCTGAGGGGTGTGCAGAAATTTGGAGGAGTTGAGAGAGCAGCCATGCAGAGATTTGGAGTGACTCTATACCCTGAAGAGGGAATATAGAGCAAAAGCCCAGGTCAGAAGTATGCTTAAGATGTTAAGGAAGAACAAAAGGCCAGGGTGCCTGGAGTAGGGTAACAGTAGGGTAAGAGGAGGGAGTAGCAAAAGGAGAGGTCAGAGAAGTGCTAGGAACCAGATCTTGTGGGACACTTTAAGCAATTGTAATTTTACCAGGACTGTCATTCTGAGTGACATGAGGCTTTAGCAGAGAAGTGGAAAGATCAGACTTATACAAGAAGGTAATAATCATGGTGGCTGCTGTGATCAAAGTAGATTTTTACAGGGGAGAGAAGATGGAACACCAGTTAGGAGGTTATTGTTGTCATTTAGGACAGAGATAATGGTAGCTTGGGGGAGAGTGCTGGCAGAAAAATTTGTAAGCAACGGTTGAGTTCTGGATGTATGTCGAATGTAGAGCCAACACAATTTTCTGATTGTGATGAATCTGGAGAAAAGACGACTCAAAAATGATTCTAAGGCTTTGGCCTATGCAGCTGGATGTACTGAGGTTGCCATTTCATAACAAGGTGAAGGCAGTGGAGAAGTCAGTTTTACATACATTGAATATAAAGATGTTCATTAGACATCCAAGTGGATATGTCAAGCAGGCAGTGTGAAATATGGATTTGAAGTTTGAGGCAGAGGCCTGGGCCAGAGAAATCAACCGGGGTGTCATGGCTTGTAGAAAGGTATGTAAAGCCATGGAACTGAATGAGAACACTAAAGGTGAAGTATAGTCATACAGGCAAAGGGCACTGAGTCCTGGCATCTCGTTAAAAAAGAGAAAAAAAGAGGAGAAGCCAGCAATCGAGACTGAAACGGAGCAACCAGTAAGGTAGGAGGAAGATGAAGAGTCTAGGTCCTGGAAGGCAGATTGAGGATGTGTTCAGGGAAGAGTAGTGATTGCCTATTCACATCATGCAAATAGGTCAAGTGGGATGAGGCCCAAGAATGGATAATGGGGCTGACTAGTGGATTTAGAATTCAGCAGAGTGATAGAGTGAATGCCAAAACACATGGCATGACACAGAGAAATGGATGAAGAGGGAAAGAGAGGCAACAAAGAGAATAAAGAAATGACAACACGTGTGGACCTCAAAGCACTCCATATCTGCCCACTCTTTTTTCTTCACATATTTTGAACACTTCAGACAGGCTTCACATTTCAACTTCATTTTTTTTCATTCAAATTAAAAGTATACCCATGACCAAACATAGTGTCATGAAACACATGTATGAACGCCTACTATCCCAGGGGTGTTATGAAAACACTTAAAAACATGATATGAAGTTGGATCTCAAAGTATTAGAACAACATGAGGAAAAAGTCTTGTTCATCAGCCATCTTAGAATCCAACTCTAAGGCTTAAAACATACCTGCTTGCTGAACATGGGATCCTTGTTGAACTTGCTGAACTTGCTGAACTTGGCATCCTCCATTCTTTTTCACCTCAATTTTCTCATCTTAAAAATGAAGGATGATAACCAAATGGCTCATAAATTCCTCTCTGACTTTTGGGTTTATTTCCCATTGTATTCTTATCTTGATTTTAATTTTAAAAATTCCAGTGATCATCTCAGAAACAGTTAATATTTTATTAAGGTTGTGATACTTCACTCAGAATGGAAAAGTTTTATTATATGACAAAGTATCAAATCATAGTATTAAGTAGTTTCTCTTTAAACATATAAAGTATCCTTAGGGAAAAGTTTATTACCTTCATGGAAAATTCCATAAAATATTTATGAAATTTATCAGAGGCTCAAACAGTGAGGTATCTTTTAAGCTTTCATTGAACTCACAGATTAATTTCTTACATACAATACTAGTCAGATATGGTAGAAAACATTTAAGACTTTGCCATGATTTAAAATATCTTATTATATTTAGTGCTTCTATGACACTAATTTTAAGATAAGTAAGTTCTAAATGTATTCACACACAACAAGAACACTATGGACTCATCACTGATCTACTTAACTTTTCCAATATTATGTTTTTAAATTTTCACAGCATTCCTATGTGGTAGAGATAATTTTTGTAATGGTCCTTTTTCATTCTTGTATCGTAAACACCTAGCACAAGTCTTGAAATATAGTTATCTCTGAACAAATATATGTGGAGGAAGTGAGAATCACTGGTAATTCTTTTAAAAATGACTTTGACTCACAGTGGGATTTTTTTGGAAAGATATGCCTTGTCCATAGAATGGAAAGATCAAGTTTCACACTAAGTGTGAATAGGGCAGGAGAAGGTCTGGGGATCCATCTATCTTGTCAGAATATAGTCTTTAGAATGAGGGTTGTATGGTTTTCACTCAGGATCCAACTGGAATTGATTTCACTGTGTCTGTCATATATGCCTGTGAAAGAACAACTTTCAAAACTCCAAAGATCCCCATATTTGTGTGTGTGTGTTTGTGTGTGTGTGTGTGTGTGTTTAAAATAATTGCATGTCATAGGACGGCTGAAGCCCTTCAACCATGCCAAAAAACTTGTACAATTTGGCTGCATTAGTGTGGAATAGTGGGACTGTTGCTGAATCTTAGGAGGCAGATTATTTTTGCAGGGGAGAGTCCTGACTTTGACCAATAGCTGACCTTAAGCAAAGGAAATCAGTTTTCTAAGCCATAGTTGATTTGTAAATTAATGGTATCCTCTGAAGGTCAAATGAGCATTTTTTTGGAAACTGTAAGATGTATGTAAGTTTTCTACTTCTGTGTGACAGACTGCAGGAATTTAGCAGCTTCTGTTATCTAGCAGTCCTGTAGGTCAGAAGTCTAGGTATGTCCCAACTGGGTTTACTGTTTAGGGTTCCCTAAAGCTGGAATCAAGGTGTCAGATGAGACTTGGTTCTCATCTTCCGGGATCATTCAGGTTGTTGACAGAATTCCATTTATTGTGGCTATAGGACTGACATTTGTTTCTTCAAGGGCAGACAAAGAGCATGTGTTGTTGTTTTGTGTCTCTTTTTTAGAGCTTGCTTGCTTAGGTTGGGCCTATTCAGGAAAATCCCACCTTCTGATTAACTCAAATTCAACCAATTAGGGACCTTTACTACATGTGCCAATCTCTTGGGGCATATAAAATCACATAACACAGGAGTACTACCTCATCATAATCACTTGCTCTGCCTACTGTCCAGGGGAGGTGATTATATATGGTATACACACCAAGGGGCAGGGATCCTCAGGGTCATCTTCGGATTCTCTTATCATAGTATCATATTGTTATAAACTTTACCAATTGAATATGCTTTTCATAAGATGTTCCTATTTAATAACTTCATAGAGCTTATGAAGATGTTCCTTGGGATAAGATGCTACCACCAAAACTTGTTCCAGAAGAAACAACATTGGAAAAAACCGCTGACCCCATCTCACAGTGTTTTACTCTGAAAAGATATAAAGGGGTGCCAGCAATAACTCAGGTCAGCAGACTTCTCTGAACAATAATGTATTTCTCATTGTTATTGAAATGAGTTCTAAAACTTTAAGTCAAAATAATACTTATTTTATTGTTAACAATACCTAAGGAAGTAAATTTATGTAAGATAAGTAAATATATATACACACACACACACACACACGTATGGAGTTGAAATTTCCGTAATCGTGCAAGTTATTGATGACTGCAAATACTTTGATGTTTTCAATATTCAAAACTTTTATTGATTATGTAAAGACTACCTCTTTCTCAAAAGTTATTTGCAATGACTGTGTTTATTTTTGGAATTGCAAGAGAATGAGTAAATAATGAAGAAGACAGAAATAATTTTACCAGATAACCTATGCTGAAGATGGTTCTTCACACAGGATCTAGATCTTAGCTCTGTACTTTTCATGGCAAAAAGAGAAGATCCATAGATTGCTATCTGATGTTGTCACTTATTATGTGATAAAACAAAGCATACCAACTTTTCAGTAGTGACACTCATTCTTTTTATTTCCGAGTGTCAAGAAGAATTTATCACAGGAATTATCATATCTATGCCATAGCCAGATAACTTTTCGTAATGTGTGAATCTGTTTGTATTACTCCACTGATTAAACCCATCCTTTTTTATTTAAAAATAAAATCCACACTCCTTGACGTGACACAGACCCAATTCTCCATTATTTGCCCATGGTTCCCTCCTTAGCTTCATCCCTGCCCCGTTCTCGTCTTCTTACTGTTCCTCTTTATTGCCCAAACATCACCCCACAGTGTACTCTGTCCTTTCTCTGCTGAGCTTCTCTCAAGTCCTCAAGTCTCCCATGCTCGTTTCCAGGTTGTGTGCTTTGCAAAGAGTCTTCCACTGCCTTCATCACTCTCCCTATTTATGCTAGGTGAATCTCAAGAATTCTTCAGGTCTTATTGTAACCCTCACTTTTGACCTCCCAACACTGGATTAGATGTCTCAGCTCTGTGCTTGCGAAGTACCTTCTACTTCCATTGATTCCTTTATCTTTTTGTGCCACTTCTCACGCGTAGGAGTCTGGTTAAGCCCTTGGGCTTTTCCCATAATGAAGTTTTTGAGTACACAAAATCCATAGGATTAAAAAGTAAATCAATTATATTGAAATACAGCTCTTAATATAGATCCCAAGAGGTCCCCTGATGGTAGGTTAAGATGCCTATATTTTCTTGTAAAATTTATTCAGCTTTTACAGAGAAAAATGATAATAAAAGAGGAAAAACATGTCTTTAATATAAAGACTCAAACCTGAGATTTTTCACATAGAAAAAGTGAATTAAAATAAAAATATATATGATTTCATCTAGCTAATTTTAAAGGATCTCTAAACTACTTTAAAATATTTTTATACCTGTGAAAGTTGGTCCTTTCATTACACATTCCTTGCCGTTAAATTCTACTAGCATCCAAAGTCCTTCTTGGGCCAGATGATATTCAAAGCTTAGGATCTAGGCTCGTTTGGAAGTGGGAAACTGGCCTGGGTTTGCAGAGGGTAGACTACAGTGGATCCAAGTCAGAACAGTAGCTAAGGATGAAAACTAAAATCAGACTTTCCACATGGGTTTCGGTATGAAACAGGTGGATAATGAGACAGATTCCAGCTATGAGAAAACAAATGGAAATTGGAAGTCTGAGATCAGATCAAAGACCATGAGTGGCTCCAGACCGAATCCATGAAGTGCTAGCAAAGCTTGGAGAGTGCGTTTCCTAGGGAGCCTGGGGCATAGCTATGACGTAGAAAGGACTGTCAAGGGGACAGGAGTTTATCCACCAGAAATTATAACGTGCTCATTAACTGTCATTGATTTTGACGATTATTTTTAGATGGTTGGTGAGCTCTGGGACAGATTTCAAACAAGATCTTTCTTGGCACCAGTCAAACCAATTAATTTGTAAGTTTTATCTCCTAAAGTTCTCACACTAGGTTTCTCACTATCATGTTTTGTAATTAAGAAGCTGATGCTGTAGCCCTTGGCTTAGAGGTGTGGGTGAGGGATATGTTCTCTGATGGAGAGCATCCCAGGGACTCCCTGACTCACATCCTTAGGGCTGGGAAATCCCAGGACAGTTGCTCAGTGTGCCTGCTTCCTTTACTTTCTCTTTACCCTAACCCTAACATGGTGAAACCCTGCCTGTAATCCCAGCTACTTGGGAGGCTGAGGCAGGAGAACCGCTTGGATCCAGGAGGCAGAGATGCAGTGAGCTGAGATCACGCCACTGCACTCCAGCCTGGGTGATGAGCGAGACTCATCTCAAATAAACAAATAAATAAATACAATAATATAAAATAGGGAGGGCTTTATAAACAGTTTGATATAAACAATTACAATATTGCTAAAATCCATGGACTTTATATAAAATAGATTATACATTATTTTCAATCAATTTTTGTATTATATAGTTACTTTGTGTTCTATTAATGTTAGAAACTATGGTTTCATTACTACTACTTCCTCACATGTAATTTTCACATTTAGTCTAAAAAACTAGGTGTTTCTGCCTTTGAAAACATCACAATATTGTCTGTTCATTTTTGCTCGTAACACAACCCACAACACAGGTTATCATCTTTGTTTTTATTTTGTATTCATTTTTGAATATTTTATGTACACAAAAATGTATAAGAATATGACATAGTCTGTGTGTATGCTCCCCAACTTTAGAAATAAAATATTACTTACACAATGGAAAATTTCTGTATTTTTTTTTCTAAGCATATCTATCTTCCTCGTGGAGCATGACTAGTATTCCGGATTTGACATTTCACATTTTCATGCATTCTTATAATTTTTTAAAACACATGTGTTATTGTTAACCTATATATGGAATTGTGTTCTTTGTCTATAAACCCAGTATTAGTGGTATCATACATATATTTATGCAACTTTATATTTTTGTTCATATGAAAAATTACATATGAGGAAGTAATACTAATAAAGTCATAGTTTCTAACATTAATAGAACACAAAGTAACTATATAATACAAAAATTGATAGAAAATAATTTACATTATTTAATTTCACATTATTTAATTTACACAAAATTTATATTTCTGTTTGTAAGATTCATACCTGTTGACATCTGTGTTTCTAGGAGTTTGTTTTCACTGTTGTAGAGTCTTCCTTTAAATGGATGTGCCAAAAATTATTCATCCATTCTCATAATTATTTTCTGATTTTTATTACAGTTGGTACAGTGCCCACATACCTTCACATACCTAAGTGTAAAAATATTTCTGAGTTTTATATACTCATATTTATGTCTAGAATTGTTGGGTCATGTGATGTGTACTTCTCTGCTTTTTAAATATTGCTATGTTCTTCTCCAAATGAGTTTCAACAATGGAATCTCCCATTATAAGTGCTTGGGCTCCCATTACTGCACATCACAGCCAGTGTTTAGAATTTTCAGATAAAAAAAAATCCAGTCTTATCAATAACAAATTGTGCTCCATTATAATTTTAGTTTACATCTACCTGATTACTAACGATCAGTTTTTGCAAGTTTATGACCTGTTTGAATTTTCACATCTGTAACTTGCCTGCTTATATATTTTGTCCCTTTTGCTGTTGGGTTTTTACTTACTGATTGTCACAACTTTTCTGTTCAATATTCTGGGTAAAAATCCTTTCTTGGTAATATGAATCAAAGTATCCCCTTCTAGTCTGTGACTTTTTTATTTTAAGACTTTTCTATTTTTGCTTATCTGAAGTTTTGAATTTTACTGTAACTAAATTCATCAATATTTTTCTTCAGGTTTTGTTGTTTTTGTGAAGATTTTAATGAGTGTTTCTCTGCCTTGAAATAATAAAGATATCCTCCTTTTATAACTTTTTTCTAAAATTTTCAAAATTTTGCTTTTCACATTTATTATTTTTAAAGCATTTGATTATTACTTATGATAAGAGCTGGGGATCCATTTTCCCAACATAAATAGGCAATTATGCTAGCTCAGTTTAATGACAGGATCTTACTAAATAGTTTAATGAGTGATTTGTAGGCCTGTTGGCTAAAGCCTGTGAGTGCTGAGTCACAATGAGCATTTGCAAAAATGAAGTTGAATAGGAAATATAAAAGTGAATCACATGGAATTTTAAAATGTAACTATGTATTTTTCAATAACTACCATGGGCAATTATGAAGAATAGCATGAGACAGACAGACATCACATACGAAAAACACATGCCACTCCAGAAAAAATTATTCATTCCATCTTTTGCTCTCTGGAATTTCATCTGATTTTCTGGTTTTTAGAAGATCAATTTGATCATCGCCTCAGTGGAATGGTTAACCTTATATATTTAACTTTATATTTACCTAATCCAAATTAAATTTAAAGCAAAATGTAGGAGATATTAGTCCACAGCAAAATTAATGAGAGTTTTTGCTAAATTTTAATGATCGAAAATCAATATCAAGGATACCATTTTTAAAATCTTTAACAATTGCACCACTTCAATAAAAGCAGTATAAAGTGACCTTTAAATGGGATTTTTTTTTTTTTGGTAATTGGTAGAAAAAGGAATGAAATGGAAATACACAACGCTGTACTCAAGTCTGACTACTGGATCTAGAAATGCAAATAGTGACAGTACGGAGAAGAATATTGAGTCTTGTCAGAAAACTACCATTTTATTGAACCATATCTAAAAATGATGTGCAAGATTTTTGATAAAATTTATTTAAAGTATGGTTTTGCCAAATGTGTAAAATACCCCACTATAGACTCCAACGTGTAAATTGAATGGTAATCGTTTAAATAAAAGATTGAAATATTTAAAAATTTAACATTATTGACCAGGTGTGGGGGCTCACACCTGTAATCCCAGCATTTTGGGAGGCCGAGGCAGGCAGATCACGAGGTCAGGAGATTGAGACCATCCTGGCCAACGTGGTGAAACCCCGTCTCTACTAAAACTGCAAAAATTAGCTGGGTGTGGTGGCACGTGCCTGTAATCACTGCTACTCGAGAGGCTGAGGCAGGAGAATCACTTGAACCCGGGAGACGGAGGTTACAGTGAGCCAAGATTGCACCACTGTACTCCAGCCTAGGTGACTAGAGCGAGGCACCATCTCAAAAAAAAAAAAAAGAAAAAAAAAGATTCTTGTTCATATAGCAAGCTGAAGTTGATGATAATTCCATTTGAATACATTTTTTAAAATGTAATTTTTTTCTACTAATTCTTAACATGTGAATGTTAGTTCTAAAACTTTATTGGTATATTGGTATTTTTAATTTACATATCATGTGGTAAAATGGCAAATAGCTCAGGGAGATGATAATTTTTTTATTCCAGTTTACATAGATCCACTTAATTTGTTGATTATAAGTCAGCTGGCAAATGAAAAGCTATGTGGGTTAGTCAGCACTGCCACATCTCAGAATTCTTCAGCATACTATTCACAGTGGAAGCCTCCTGTACGTAAATGTTCCTTCCAAGAGCTCACACAAAGACCTATATGTGAACGTTTATAACAGCTTTATTCATGATCTCCAAAACCCAGAAACAACCAAGATGCCCTTCAGCAGGTAAATAGATAAAGATACTAGAGTATGCCCATACAATGGAATACTACTCAGCAATGAAAAAGAACAAACACAACACACAACAATATAAATGAATCTGAAATACATTTTGAAAGCAGCCAGACCCAAAAATTTATTATATGATTCCATTTATTTGACATTCTGGAGAAAGCAAACTACATCCTTAAATAGTCTCTGTTTAAAATCACAAACCTTTAAAGGACAATTCCTATGAGATATCTGTGAAGGCTTTTGTCTTAATTAGAGAAATACTGTAATAATTTGATGTTTATTAACTTAATATAAATAACCCAGTTGCCTCTCTTCTCTTTTTTGAAGTGTGAGTTCAAGTTCTAGAAGTAAATATATTCCTCTCTATACGTAAGTAATGTTTCTCAGTCTTGTAAAAAAATTTTAGATTTATATTTTGGTTGTAGTTGCTTTCAGCTCACGCATGTTGTATTCACTTTTTAAGACAACTTATATATTGTAACACATTTCTAATGTTTGTGTGGCACACAGTGCCTGTTTAATGTCAGAAGTCCCATCTAAGGTTTGATTTTGATGAAAGAAAGAAAGAAAAGAAAGAAACAAAGAAGGAAGGAAGGAAAGAAAGAGAGAAAGAGTGGTATTTTTCTGTTTTTCCAAATACATTACCTTTTGAAATAAAATACCTTGGATGCTACCACTATTGAGTGTTATGAATCACAAAAACTGTTATAATTGCAGAAGGGATGAGATGCTCATTAACAGCATGGAAATATCACCTCTTAATTTCTACATTTAATGCCGGCTTTCCATGGATGGCAAAAAAAAGTACATTATCTGCCAGTTGGGGTCTTCTCCTGGTTTTTAGATGGAAGAAGAACCTTGAAACAAAACAAAGTAGATCCAAGAATATGGAGGAGGGATCTGGACCTTTAGTCCTGGCCCACCCCTCTCATTACTCGGCCTCTTCAGTTCTGCAGTTGACTAGTGTTTCTACCAGTGGCCCCAGAAGTCCTTGAAACTCTCTGATTGGCATTAACTCAGCCTCTCAACTTTCTCTCAGGCCCAGGGGCACGTGGCTTGTTGCCCAAGCTCCTCTGCACCTGTGAGGGTTTCCATTCACCAGGAGCCTTATAATCTCTGGCACACACCAGCCTCTTCCTTGCCCAGCCTCCAGCCGGTCTCCAAAGGAGTTGTGCTGGGGCTGCAGGAACAGCCCGCTTCTTTGTTCAGAAACACAAAACAGCCCTTACTGTCACTCTGGCTCAAACTTAAGATCAAGGAGCATGCCACCGCTCATTCTGAAGAAGAGAAAATTATCTTTATATTTTTTAAGGAAAATTGTTCTATCATTATGCTTTACATTTTGCATTTTGAGCCTTTGATCTACTTTGGCAAATAAATTTCCTTTGGAAGTTAGAATACTGTTCAATGGTTTCTTCTATGTTTCTTATACAGAAATATATGCCTTCTTTCCTTTCCATTCTAACAGTGGTCATGTGCAGTCTACAAATGCTGATGATGTTGACAACCCCTTGGGAGACATCGCATCGCTAGCCAAGCAGCGGTACTCTAAGCCTCTTTATACAAACACAAGTCGGTGAGTTCCATTCATGATTATTTCACTTGTTTTATTACTAAGGATGAAACATGATGATGGACTTTACCATAAATGAAGGAATTTAAACGTGGCTTTTATTGAACATTGCTGAAGAAGAAAGATACCTGCTTCCTAAAAGAAATGTGGTTTGTCACAAAGGAGATTTTGGGGATTGACTCACTTGGGGCCCTTGAGCAAGTCACTTTATCTCTGTGACTTCAGTTTCTTCATCTGAAACTTGTGAGAAAAAAAATGCCACCAAGCAAGGTGATCGTGGGGGGATCAATAATGTTTGTAAAGTATCTGAGACGCGGCAGATCACTAACAGAGAGGAATCACTTTTTTTTTTTTTTTTTTTTGAGACGGAGTCTCGCTCAGTCGCCCAGGCTGGAGTGCGGTGGTGCAATCTCGGCTCACTGCAGACACCGCCTCCTGGATTCACGCCATTCTCCTGCCTCATCCTCCCAGTAGCTGGGACTACAGGCGCCTGCCATCACGCCCTGCTAATTTTTTCTATTTTTAGTAGAGAGGGGGTTTCACTGTGTTAGCCAGGATGGTCTCGATCTCCTGACCCTGTGATCCGCCCGCCTCGGCTTCCCAAAGTGCTGGGATTACAGGAGTGAACCACCGCGCCCAGCCGAGAGGAATCACTTTTACACATAGGAACTTGAAGGCTGTCGTGCTGTGCTTCGTCCTGAGGAAGGAGTCAGTGGGCTGGATTCTTCCATACATTCTGCAAGGAAATCATTGCTACTACACATAATAATTCTAAAAATCTAAAGGAAGGATATAGGAAGAAAGCTAATTTAAAATATTCAGGCACAACAATTTAGGATTGTTTCTTCTTTGATACGTATATCTAAATTTTGAAATGTTGTATGAAATATTCTTTCTAAAGAATCAAAACATATTATTTGGGGTCATTTCTTCAAAGAGAGTGAAGAGCAGTATGGCAACATTTTAAAGATTTGGTGTAAAAATGAACCACTTAACTTCAATAAATTTGGGCATATAGCATTCCTGCCTCATCTTGCTGTTAATTTCTGTTTTTAAGCAAATGATATTTTGAGCGAATCATATAAAAGAATTGAAGATATTAACTGTACTTACCTGATTTGGGCACTAGAGGGCCTCCAAGGTTGCAAAGTTTCTTCTTTTGATTCGCTTTCAATTTTTAACGGAATCTTAACCTGTTAACACAAAGAAATGTTTTTCATTTTTATTTATAAAATATTTATAGACACAGAAAGATATAGTGTCACATATAACATATCAAATAACGTAAGTAAACTCCTGTGTATCCCCCACCTAGTAACATACAGAATCTTACTCAAATCTTTTCAGCCATGTGTGTGGCCCCAATCTCATTGCCCATGCCTTCTGCTTCCCCAGCTCAGAAGCTATACTCATTAGACTTTATGCCTTTCTTTTGCTTACTTTTCTTTCTAGTTTTGATACATACATATGAATCTCTAAACAAATTATTATGTAGTTTCCACAATACTGCTTGAGCTACAAAGCAAAGTACAGGAGAATATAAACAATATGATGTCATTTGCATAGGAGCACATGCGCCTACTTTGTGCCAAGTAAGGTACAGAGAGCCATCCTATTGAAAGCAAATATGTCTCTTCTTGAATTTTTTTCATCTTAAAGTTTCTTGAAGAGAAATGGCTTTATGATAGTATCTTTAGGGTCCTTTTTAATGATTGGTGGCACTTAATCATGGCTGGGAAACACTGCTATACCCCTGCCTTTTCAGTGAAAGCCATTTTTTTTTTTTTTTTTTTTTTGAGACAAGAGTCTCACTCTGTCACCCAGGCTGAAGTGCAGTGGCGTGATCTCGGCTCACTGCAACCTCTGCCTCCCGGGTTCAAGTGATTCTCCTGCATCAGCCTCCTGAGTAGCAGGAATTACAGGTGCACACCACCATGCCTGGCTAATTTTTTGTATTTTTAGTAGAGATGGGGGTTTCGCCATGTTGGCCAGGCTGGTCTGAAACTCCTGACCTCAAGTGATCCGCCTGCCTCGGCCTCCCAAAGTGCTGGGATTAAGGTGTCAGCCACCACACCCGGCCCAAAAACCGTATTTCAGGCAAGGGTCAAGGCCATTTACTCTCTAGTTCAAGTGGCTTCAGCATTGGAATCACCAATTTTTCTACAGGGCAAAAGTTTTAAAAATTTCCTTCATTAGTTGATTTTGTTTTATGGTTACTAAGTCATCTGACATGCTCTGTGTTTTTTATATTGGTAGTGATTGTGCTAATAGCTTAAAAATAGTAGTTTTTATTTTTATTGTAGAACTGAATCTGATCATTAAAGAAAAAGTATAGAAATATTAATAACAATGACAATATAACCAAACTCTTATTCATAACCATTATTAACATTTTGGCATATTTCCATCTGTCATACACACTTCTAATCTTGCTTTTGTATATTTACATAGCTATGATCACACTACACAGAACATTTTTACCACTATAACATTACCACATAATTATGGGTACATGTTTTTATGAGCTTATCATAGCTTCTATTTGTGTAGATGTACTGTAACTGCCTCATTCACTTAGGTTACATATGTAAATTGTTTCCATATTCTTTATATGACTCTTTCTTGATTTGAAATTATTTACTTAAGTGACATTCCTTCAAAAGGATTCTGGGGTCAGAATATGTAAACATTCTTAAAAAGTTCTTAAACTTATGGCTATCATTTTCTTGAAGTGTTATGTGAATTTACAGAGGTTTGGTGAGCCAATGGTTATGCTCAGTATTTATGCTCACCTTTAATAGTAACATTGAAGCTCCACAAATAACTTTTTTCCAAAAGTGTTCATTATGAAAATAATTCAGATATTTTTGAAGTGTAGAAAGTAAAATATCTCTTTCATTTTCAATCCCAATATTAAAAGTTTGATTTCTTTTTAGACTCTTCCCCTCATGCATTTATGAATGTGTGCAACATATATGTACAAGTGTATTGTGTGTGCATGGATAGGTGGAGTGTATGTGTGTATGTAAGATTGAAATATGCACTAGATATTTTTGCATATTAAAATCTTTTTAATGGCTAGATGTATCCCACCAAATCTATAACAAGTTTATATTGCCCAAGCCCTGAATACTTTTCTTGTTGTAAACAATATAGCAAAAACAGCCTCTACATATATGTTTGTACACTTATCCATGCATTCTTTTGGAACAAATCACTAAAAATGAAATTGTTGCCTGAGTTTTCTTATTAAAATTATTTTTGAATTTGGTAGGCATGCCCAGTTACTAAATGGCATTTAGAGTTCAGGAACTCAAAATGTTAACGCAGTTTCTACTGCAGTTCCTAACTTATTATAACTTGAGACTAGTTTAGGAAATAGAAAGAATCCAAAATAGTCATTGGGTTCAACAAAAATTATTGAAGCTCAGTATAGCTAAACAATTATCTTTGTTTCTTCAACAAACATGAACTGTTGACCGGATCTGGGTAGTGTTCAGGAATTTTTTTAAAATGATGCAAATTCATCCGCACTTATAATCTGTGTCAAGCAGAAAGTTAAGGTAAGACTGAGATGAGAATCCTGCTTTTTCAGGCCTGGCACGGTGGCTCACACCTGTAGTCCTAGCACTTTGGGAAGCCGAGGCGGGTGGATCACCTGAGGTGAGGAGTTGGAGATCAGGCTGGCCAACATGGTGAAACCCCATCTCTACTAAAAAACACAAAAATTTGCCAGGCTTGGTGGTGAGCGCCTGTAATCCCAGCTACTAGGGAGGCTGAGGCAGGAGAATCGCTTGAGCCTGGGAGGTGAAGGTTGCAGTGAGCCAAGATCGCGCCACTGCACTCCAGCCTGGGTGACAGAGGCCCTGTCTCAAAAATGAAAAAAAAAAAGAATCCTGTTTTTCAAATCTGTTGTTTTTATCCTCTTCAGTATAAGATCCATATTCTTTGCAAGGGCTCGGTGAACAAGTTTGAAGATAAGCTCAGTCCCTTTTAGTAACCATTTTACAGTCCCATATAATTTCAGTGCTTTGCAGTCATGAGTCATCAGTACAAGGAACATAAAAATTGAATCATCTGTAATGGCAGATCTCTGTCCTTTCCCAAGGATATGGAAAGAGTGTTGGGGTACTTTTTCTTTTGTAACAGACTCTATTGTAGATTATATATACATATATATATATGTATATATATATATGTGCGTGTGTGTGTGTGTGTGTGTATATGTGTGTGTATATATATATATATATATATATATATATATATATATATATACATCTTACATATATGGGAGAGAGCCCTGAGATCTAACATATATGCATCTCACACTTGTATTTCCAAAGAATAAACAGGCTCAGCAAAGGTGAGGTGCAGGCCCAGCTAACAGAGCAGCACAGCCCATGCCTTCTGAACCCAAACCCAGCACTTGCAGTCACCATTTGCTTGTTTTTCCAAACTAGGCAGCTGCCTATGAGGTACCATCCTCCACTAAGTTATAATCTTTTATCTAAGGACGTTACAAGGTTTCATATTTACTGTGCTTTTTGACCTCAATGATTGCTCTGAGGAAGCATTTGCAAATAAAGAGGAATTGTCCAACATGGACCCCCAGGCAGCCCCTGGCACATGTCTCCCATGGAAAAGGGGGCTTCCCTGTCAGTCGCTGGACTGTGTTGCAGCTTAACAAAATTTTACCACAACCCAGGTTAAAGAATAACTCTATGAATAGTAGTTCCTTAGATCAGCCCAATACTTCTGCCTTTTCAGACTACTTTCACACACTCCCTCATTTGTTTTTCAAATAGTGTGATGAGGCCAGAAATGAAGGTGCAAGTTCTATCCCCATTTTGCAGATGAGGAGGCTGAGGCCAGAGGAAATGGCATAAAGAGCCAAGATCACTCATTTCATGAGTGGTAAAAAGTCCAGAGAACTGGCCTCTTAATCCCCAGGGCAAGCTCTTGCCTTAACTCACATTAAACGTGGCTTCTGCCTTTGGCAAATAATGGGTTCTTGGAGCTTTGAGTTATACTGTTTCTACATTCCCTCCTAAATGGAAGAATTGAAGATCCCAAGAACACAGGAGGAAAGAATATACCCACCAGATGAAGAGAATAATCAATAAACCTGCAATTCCTAAAAAATATCTTGTGGCCACGACATCTTATGATATTCAGAAAAATGCAATCCAGTGATCAAAGTCATTGCAAAATGATTCCAGTTTTATTTGCATTTGTCATTGAACAATAAAATCAGACAAACCCCAACTCACAATGGACTCCTGTCTTTTCCCCTCCAGCCACATCTGCCTCACAGTTCTCTGCAGTCCTTCCCTTCTCTCAGCCCTCTGGGCTGACCCTCCTTAAAGTCCAAGCCTGGAATTTACTACTCTTCCTCCGTCTCCCACTTTCTGCTCCCCTTGCCCACCCTAACTTCCATCCATGACCTGCTGCTCCTCTCACATGGGTCTGCACCTGCTGCATGCTGGGCACTGTGCCAGGCCTTTACTTGCATCACATCGCCCCCAGCACCCTCCAAGGGAGTGCAGCTACCCTGACTGATGGCCAATTATAGGTGAGGATGCCTGAGAAAACTTCAGTTGAGGTCTAAGTTCACACAGCTGGTCAGGGCAGCCCTGGAATTAAATGTGTCTGTCTCACACCCCCCTCCCTTATGTCGCATCCATGGTCTTTGTTCACTTGGGATCTTTAAACATTTAAATGTGCATTTTTTAAATTAAAAGTATTAGTGTGAAAGCTGTTGGGAGCTAAGTCAGCTTGATGTCTGCCTAGAACTGTAGCTGATATAGAATGGCTCTAAATAAAAGACTATCACATTGATTTGAACCTGCACTTACACCCCACCCTGTATAATTGCAGCCCACTGTGAGCTAATGAGGCTCTCCTGGCTGGGCTGGGAGTAATGCCAATGGTCCTTCCTATTCAGTTCAGTTGCACTGAGGTCCAGTTCTACCACTTGCCAGCTTGGTTGGTGCTGGCCATGATACTTAGACTTTCTCTGTGTCAGTTTCTCCATCTATAAAATGGACATGATCATAGGACCTATGACACAAGATTGTTGTGAGAATTAAACAGTCAATTTACATCAAGCATTTAAAAGGGTGCCTGGAATATAGAACATACTCAATGACTATTAGTCATGTTTACAGTGTAGAGTGAGAATTTCTATGCATGCCTAAATTTTATGCACATATACAATACATATATTCTACGTATAACATGGTTTTCTCCACATTTTTCCTCTCATATTTAACTTATATACCATCTGTGCTCCCTTCTTCTGAGTTACTAAACTTCTTGATTTTCTTAAATTACTTAATTTCTATTTTATCATGTTTGGTTGAGAACCAATTCATTGTAGACTTGGGCAATAATATATTCAAATTTATCAATTAGTGAACAAAATCCTGGCTTATTTGGAACTAGGGAGTACAAAATAAGGTATTTAAAGGACTAGAAGCTGTGGAGCAAAGGCAAAAATGAAGACTTCTTATTTTTAAGTGGGTCTCTGCGTCTCTCTACTTTCCTCAAATGGGGAGTGGAATTCTTTGAACATGCGACTAACCTGGAAATCCATTTCCCGGCTTGTATGTTTCAGTATCTTTAATAGCTTTGTTCCCTCCAGCTGAAAAATAATATCTCCTATCAGCAGCAGTCTAAAGTGTTCCCCAGAGAGTATTCTCCTCTTAATATAAGGTCGCTGTGTTGCACTTAAGATGGCAAAATTCCCCTTGTTATGGCCATATGTGCCAGGGTTAAATGGAGTAGATTTAGAAGCAGTGTGGGTGAGGACTTTCGTTTTCAAATATTTGGCAATTTATTATGCAACTGAATTCATTCCCAAGACTGAGCAGCTAATCAGTCTAATCTTCCATGAAATGTTATTATTAAATATGATGTAATCTAATAGCATTAAGACAATGTAACATATGATACCATTTAGCATCAATAACATGCATGCCACAGAGGCACAGAGGCTGTGCAATGTTTTTTATCAAGCCTTTCATGTGATTGACAGATGGCCTGCGTCCATCCCTCTGACTTCTTAACTGCTCTGATGGCAGGATATGACTTTAGAGGCATTTTAATTCTGCAGGTGTTTTCAAAGGCAGTGGAAAAAACCTTTCACACAGATGGAGGGGATTTCCTTTGTAACATGCATGGAAGCTTTAATGAATGGTTGGGGGAGAGACACACGCATGAATAACTTTGCCTCATTCTGGGTTACCTCTCTAACTTACAGCTGCACTTTTCCAACAAAATTCCAAAAAATCCTGCAGGGCACTGCCTAGAATTCAGCAGCTTCAGTTCACTCACCTAGGTCCCTCCAGCAAGCTTGACAATGTGGCTGTAAAACAGAGGCTCCTGAACTTAGCAGCACAGGAGAATCATCTGGAGAGCTGTCAAAAGTCCCAGTGCTCAGGCTACACCACTTACTAGTTACATTAAAATATGGGGCTGGGCCGGGCACGGTGGCTCACGTCTGTAATCCCAGCACTTTGGGAGGCCGAGGCGGGTGGATCACAAGGTCAGGAGTTCAAGACCAGCCTGACCAACAGGGTGAAACCCCGACTCTACTAAAAATACAAAAGTTAGCTGGGCATGGTGGTGCACACCTGTAATAGCAGCTACTCAGGAGGCTGAGGCAGGAGAACCACTTGAACCCAGGAGGTGGAAGTTGCAGTGAGCCGAGATTGTGCCACTGTACTCCAGCCTGGGCAATACAGCGAGATTCCATCTAAAAAAAAAAAAAATGTGGGAGTGGGAGCCAGGCATTGGTACCTTTCAAGATGCCTCTGAGATGTCAGTGTGCAGCACCATTGGGAACCTCTGTCTTAGCATCTTTTCAGCTGTCTGTACTGGATAAACTTTGCAATCCCCATGTGCATGGCCCTTATTTTGTAAATGTTTTATTTCTTTAAATTACTGTATTTCAACTGAAATTAGTTTAGCATCTATTAAGTGCTAACAATTTGCTAGCTGTTTTCATATTCATTGAAGTCTCCTCTAATCCCCAGAGTGCCCCTAAGAGGTTAGTGTTGTCCTCTTCATGCTGCAGTTGACCGAGCTGAAGCCCAGAGAGCTTTCTTCACTGGAGTAAAACCTCACAGTTGGTTAAGGGGCAGAGTCAGGCTTGCCACAGAAGCCTGCTTCTCGATGCAGTGGGCTGCCCCCACTCTTTAGCTGCCTTATTTTCCTAGTCTCACAAAATCTGTTATTTTGTACTGTTTATTCTGCTGTTGCCATAGATGTAATTTCCCTTCACTTTGTTAGTCTCTGGGTGTCCTTGATTATATCACCTGCAAGCCAATAAGTCATCACCAACAGAGTCATAAATTACACAGCTGGAAGAGAATTAGGAGATTTATTAGTGCAATTCCCTGCCTGATATGTATTTTCCCCCTAACATTCTGATACTTGCACATAATCAATGTGGGAAGGACACCAAGAAATTGCAGTGTGAATCCTTCTCGTTTCCACTTCTCCCTCACCCAAGTCCTTCCGGTTGGTATCACTACCCGGGGTCAGGCTGAGGCTAGAAGGCTCCAAAAGACTATGTCCAGTCCAGATCCCAGAGATGACATGGGGAACCGGGGACTGAATCTTCCTCCCAACCCTTAAGCACACACCCCTTTCACTAACCTCTCTTCTGCCTGCCTTGTCACCTGATACTTTCAGGAGCAACTCCTATAAGCTCCAAATTTTGAAAATTACTCCTAAGATAAGTGGTTCCTGGAGAAGGCTTTGTGTGGCTTACTGGTCGTGTGGGAAGGTCATGGATATAACCAAGGCAGCCATTGAAGAACCATTCCTCCACCACCCACAGAGGTTTGCTTGTTGCTACTGTGTTGCATTTTGTCTGGGCACCAATTTTGAATAGGGAACCATGCCACAAGGATGTCCTGCTCTCAGAGAAAGGTCCAAGGATGGCAAGTGAAAGCCACTGAGATGAATGAAATTTGCAATCTGCCCACTGGCCCTTTCCTCCCTGGGGGCAAGTTCATGATGGTGGCCTTTCTTATTCCTCCCTGAGGCCAGCACAGTAAGCTGAGGCCATGGCGTTGATACGACTCTGCAAAGATGGTAGGCTATTACACAGAGCCTCATGATCTGTAAATGTTGTGTTCTTGGACTTTGAAATACAATTTAAATCTTATTTTCCTCAACTCCTTGCAGCACACAGGATGGAGCTTCATGCTGGGCCTGTCCCATAAGCCTTACCCACCTCCTAGGAAATAATCTGTGTAAACCAACTTGTGTGCTATCATGGCAAGAATATTCATTATTCTTCACATTCCTTCCTCTGAACTACCTACTTAAGCCTTTCTCTTGAATGCTCGTTTGCCTTTTCTGGAGAGAGAGAGCTTTTATACACACTGAAGAACGGCTTCTTCACTCTTGTGTTTTCCTTTTATCTCCCACTGTCCCTGGTGGAGAAAAGAACAGGGAAGCAGAAGAGTCAGTGGAATTCAAACTAAACTGTTTAAATTCAAATTCTAAACAGACTGTTGTAGAATTAATGCTGGTGTACGTTTGTTTCCAATGGGCAATTTTAGGAAATCATCTGAAATTTACAATGCAGTACATTAATGGTGATAAGAAAGATATCTGATAAAAGTAACAATGCTATAAATGTAAGAGTGTATATTCATTAATATTAGAGTCTGCATTACAGAAATATGTGTGGGATACAGGTCTGCCACTCTGTCAAGACCTGGTATCTTCCTTCATTATGAAACAGAGCTCAGCAGTGAGTCATGTTTGTAAAAGACATGGAAATTTAAAATAGCAGAAAAACATGAACTTGAAATAAATTTTATCGACCCCAGCATAGGGCTGTTATCTAAGTACCTGTGCATCAGCACGCCCCAGGCCTGCACTGTTTCCTTTTTGGACAGCCCAAGTTCCACACCTCATACAGGAAAAAAAAAATTAGACTGCATATTTCTTTATATTTTTCATATTTGGGTGCTAGTTACCATGACAATTTCACAAATCATCATTTTAATTTCCTCTTTTCCTCCTCTCTTAACTCTTCACTTTAGTGCTGCAAATATTCCAGGATATACCGGCAAGGTTCATTTCACAGCCACCCACCCAGCAAATTCTAATATTCCATCAACAACCCCATCACCAGATTCAGAACTGCACCGGTAAGTATGAATCCTATTACTCAATTTGCTCAGATACATTAGGAGGGGAAATCCTAATTGTGGTTATTCCATTAAAGAACAATTAAATAGTAAAAGCAAATTTACATTGTTTTTAAAAATGTGGCATCAAGTCCGAAACAGAAAAAAAGATAATTTTCCATTTTCCTACTGAGGGGAACTTTATTAAGCCTTGTATGTGTTTCCTTTTTGAATCTTACCCAAAATTACACTGAAAACCAGGTTTAGATTAATGTTATTACGAATGTGGCCAAAAGGGGCATATGAAGGTATTTCAGGCGCATTAGAGGAATGGCATCTTTACTTCTTAGACTCACAGCTGTGCACACACATCACCCTTCTGCATGATCATCAGAAGACACATGGAACATACATCAGATACATAGTTACTTCTTGTGAACAGCCACCTTACTTTTATAAAAGAAAAAATTCTGTTGAAAGTCACATATATTTTTAAACCCACATTTTGCAAATTGAAAGCAGGAGATGTGGCCAGGCATGGTGGCTCATGCCTGTAATCCCAGCACTTTGGGAGGCTGAGGTGGGCAGATCACTTGAGGTCAGGAGTTCGAGACTAGCCTGACTAACATTGTGAAACCTTGTCTCTACTAAAAATACAAAAATTAGCCAGTGTGGTGGTGGGCACCTGTAATCCCAGCTATTTGGGAGGCTGAGGCAGGAGAATCACTTGAACCTGGGAGGTGGCGGTTGCTGTGAAATGAGAGTGCCACTGCACTTCAGACTGGGCAACAGAGTGAGACTCCATCTAAAAAAAAAATCCCAGAAAACAGGAAATGTTAGATGCAAGGTTACTGAAGATTCCTTTATTTGAAGCTACTAGTGAGAAGGAGCACATGGTTACTCATTTATTATAACTCAAATTTGAAAGCACCTGATGGAATTCCTGGCATTGCAAACGGTTTTGAAAATGCAAACACAGTCTGAACGATGTCTAGTTGTTGGCCCAGTGCAGATGAATATGCTAGCACAGTAGGAAGGCAGACTAGAGGGACGGCAGTTCGCCCCCAAAAGGAGAGCTTGTTCTAGATCACATTCTTTTGGTAGAGGATTCATTCGTTTATCACACATTTTATTTATTTATTTATTTATTTATTTATTTATTTATTTATTTAAGACAGAGTACTCTGTCACTCAGGCTGGAGTGCAGTGGTGCGATCTCAGCTCACTGCAACCTCTTTCTCCTGGGTTCAAGAGATTCTCATGTCTCAGCCTCCTGAGTAGCTGGAATTACAGCCGTGCACTATCACGCCCAGCTAATTTTTGTATTTTTGGTAGAGACAGGGTTTCCCCATGTTGGCCAGGCTGGTCTCAAACTCCTGACCTCAAGTGATGCTCCCGCCTTGGCCTCCCAAACTGCTGGGATTACAGGCATGAGCCACCGTGCCTGGCCTTATCAAACATTTATTGAGCATCAATTCTGGGCCAGGCACTGTTCAAGACACTGAAGATACAGGGATGAACAGACAAGGTCCCAGCTTTTAGGAGCTTATTTTCTGGTACGAAAGATAGACAGTAAAGAAGCACACAAGTAACTGAAGAAATGAAATAATAATCTTAGCTAGTGAAATGAAAAAGAAAGACTGATGTAGGAGAGAGTTCCTCAGAAGGGGCTTATTGAGCTTTGTGGTCAGGGAGAGCTTTCTGAAAAGGTGACTGTCAGGCCATGGGTACCAAGCCAGAGCTCCTGCTCTGATCAGCTTCTTAAAACTTTCAGAAAGGCAATGGCTATAAATGGGAACAGCTGCCATGCATGGGCCTCTTGGGCTGTGGTTTCTGGTCCACCCAGCTGCTAATCCTTTTATTCACTCACCCATTTGCTGGTGGATTCACATGATCTTTTACTAAGTCAATGCATGTTTACTGTGCTCCAATAAATCACAAGAACTGCTTGCAAGGAGCTCACCATCTCTCAATGAGAAATAAACAATTGCAGCAGAGGATGACAAAAAATGTCTTAACACTAATAATCACTTCTGTTGGCTGAGTGCTTTGTGGGTACTAACTCATGTCACGGTCCCAGGAACCCTGTGAGGAAGGGAATGTTACTATCACCATTTTACAGATAAGGAAACTGAGGCACACACAAGCTGCCTGGGGCTCTGGGAGGGGGCACTAGAGAAGACTTCACAGAGGAGTGGCTCAGGCAGTGACTTGAAGGAGTGGGGCTTGGTCCCACGTAATTGAGGGCAGCAAGCATTCCTCATGGCACAGTAAAGGCACCCTAGGGGGTGGCTCTCAGGCCCCGACTAGCCTGTTGTAGGCCACTGCATACAGACAATTCTAAGCATCCCACAAGCCCTGTGTGCCTGGCCTTTTCTAAGGTGCCTGCCAATAGGAGGCTTTATCAACACGTCTCACTTTCTGGATTGGTAATTTTCTAGCATCTCTCCAGGCCATTTGATGAGAAACATTTTAAAAGGAGGTCAATGGCTTTCTAGGCTGATAACTTGCATTTGTTTTTTTCTCAAGACACATTTTTTTCCCAGTCTCAATATTTGCATGTATTTAAAAAATAAATTCTGTTGTGTATATCATCCTAACAACATGATATTATGATGACATATGGGTATATAGTAAAATGGTTACTATAGTGAACACATTAATATCCGTCATCGCCATAGTTACCCATTTTCCCCTTCCCCCTGTGGTCAGAGCAGCTATAATCTACTCAGTTAGCAAAAATCCTGAATACGATGCACTATGACGCCCTGTAGTCCTCATGATGGATCTTATGTCTCAGGCTTGTTTCTCCTGCGTGTCTGCTACTTAGCATCCTTTGACCTACATCTCCCGTTGCCTCACCCCCCACCGAATCCCTCATAACCACTGTTCTATTCACTATCTCTGTGTATTTCACCTTTTATTTCTTTGTTAGATTCCACATGTAAGTGAGATAGTGCAACATGTTTCTTTCTGTGTCTATTAGCAAAATGACTTCCAGGTCCATCTGTGTTGTGCAAATGGCAGGATCTCCTACTTTTTAAGGCTGAATAATATTCCATTTTCTTTATCCATTCATCTATCAACAGACATCGAGGTTGTGTCCATATCTTGGCTATTGTGAATATGATGCAATGAACACAGGAATGCAGATATCTTTATGAGGTGGTAATTTCATTTCCTTTGAGTGTATCTCCAGAGAAGGAATACGTTATTTTTATGTTTAATTTCTTTAGGAAACTCCATACTGTTTTCCATAATGGCTTCACCAACCTACATTCCCATCAACAGTCTATCATTTCTCTACATGCTCATCAACACTTATTATCTCTTGTCTTTTTAATGGCAGCCATTCTAATTGGTGTGAGGTGATATCTCACTGTGGTTTGTATTTCCCCGATGAGCAATGTTAAGCATTCTTTCATACACCAGATCACCATTTTTGTTGTCTTTGGGGACATGCCTGTTCAGGTCCTTTGCCCATTTTTTAAATTGGGTTATATGTTTTCTTGCTATTGAGTTGTATGAGTTCTTTATAAATTTTGGATATTAACCCCTTATCAAATATATGGTTCCCAAATATTTTCCCCCAGTCTGTAGGCTGCCTTTTCATCTTGCTGATTGTTTCCCTCGCTGCACAGAAGTATTTTAGTTTGACATAGTCATATTTACTTATTTTTGTTTTTGTAACCTAAGTTTTGGGTGTGATACACAAGAAACCATTGCCAAGGCCAATGTCAAGACACATTTTGAAATGTTATAAATCCATTTCCAAAGGCAAAGCTGGTAGACATTTAGACAAGTAATATATATTTACTTCATGTGAGGGACATAAAACAATGTCAAAATTAAATACATCCTTGTACTGATCATTTAGACTCACTGTCCAAAGAGAGTGGGATGAAACCTTGTGGCTGGTTCATGATTTAGGAGGGATCCGATGCAGAGATTCTTTGTCAGTGCAGCTATAAACAATGCTAATCCCTTTTCTTTTTTGTGCACAATCCATCTTCTCACCCCCAAATCTCAGACCCCACCCTGATTTCTGATTGCTCTAACATATCTACACAACACATAATCAAGCCATCCAATGTGTGATAAAACGTTCCTATTATCTTTCAGATAAATCCTATTTCTAAATGAAAAACTGTCCCCTACTGTTACTCCCAGAGAATATAACTTGTATCTTTCAGCCAGACTTTCACATCCAGATTCAGGCCCATAGCTGACTCTTGGGGGTCCTCGCAATCCCTCTCAATACACACATACTACACACATGGCTGTCATCCATGGCCCTCACTATACACACATACTGCACATACAGCTCTCATCCATGGCCTGAGTGGGACCCATCGCCCTCTGAGGTAGCTTCTCTGGGATTCTTATTCTCAGGGTGCAGATAACTCTCTAGAAAAAGTGACACTAACCAAAGTGTCACCCACAACTAAGTGATGGCTCGTGCTGGGCCCAGATGTCAAGGCCTGCACCTCTGCCTTCTCCCCTAACAGCAGCTCCTGGCAAGCGGTGGTGTTCTGGCATGAAAAAGCATGGTGCGGAGGGGCAGGAGGGAATTTAAACGTGTAAAAACTCACTGTGCTTTCATAAGGACTGTGCCCTCTAGCAGGAAGGCCTGGCCCTTATGATCAGAAAATTGGGCCTTCCAGGCTCTTCACATCAAAAAGTATCACTCTGATTGTATCTAGCACTATAATTTATTTTTCTAAAATTTTCCAGTGAAAGTATGAGCCTTGATCTCTCTCTGATGAGTGTCATGAGAACATAGTGAGCTAACTTCCTCCTGACTGTTTCTGCTTGATCTGATGCATTTTTTCCTGTTATTTCTAAGAAGTCATCTTCACACGGGCATCCCCTGGGAACTCCTGAATATTAGCCGCTACTGTACTCTCACTGCTTCTCTGCAATAGGTTCCTCACTTATTAAGAGCTAATGCCATTCCTGTGGTGGCTGTCTTCAAACCTCCCTGTGCCACACGAGCTTCCAGTCACTTCCCCACGCCCCTCTCAGCTGGTCTTGCCTCCTGCTTGCTGGGGCACCCAAGGTGACCCCTTCATTTTCCCTGCTAGTGTCCCCTCCTCCTCTCCATATCCCAGGCTCTATTTCCATCACTGCTGTCTCCCTTTTCCCCCAGGAAGACACACTCTTACTTTTCTAAAATATTGATCATTATTTCTGAGCTCTGAGTCCTGTGGTCCCATCAGTCCTGCTTCCTCCCTTCTGCCCCGCAGTGCTGGCCTCTCCCAGCTGGCCAGTTGTTTATGAAGAACCCCAGCGGAGTCTCCCTGTGGCTTCCCTGTGAGCTGCCACCCTGTTCTCCCCTCTCGTTCCTTTCACTTCTAAACTTCTTGAAAAAGCAAACAGCTAATCTCCCGTGCCTCCTGCCTTCACTTCCTTCCTGCCCACTCTCTCCTGAACCTGAACCTCCTGGCTCTGGATTCTGACACCAGCAGTCAAGTGACATGCTCCTGCCTGCCAGGCTGTACACTGGAAGGGGGACAAGAGAGAGGCCATTGGATCCGCTTGATGCAGAGGCAAGGAACAGTGCATTTGGCTGGATCTCTGTAATCGAGAAAACTGCACTGGTGGTTTGGAGGTTTTAAGTTGTTTGAGCCTCAAATGTTGATGCCAAGGGGTCCATGGCCATATACTCCCACACCATATTTGGAGCAAAGTGCACAGGGACCCCACAGTGCCTCAGGATGAACATTGGGATGGAATGCAAACTGAGAGGAAGGGACAGTTCAAAGAGATTTGAAGTGAGTAGATGGGATGTGTTAGAGGTGGAGAAGAAGGGATGTGACCTGTCTCCAAAGTCGTGAGCAAGGGGAATACAGGCGCAAGTGTTTTTCTAGCTCCCATTTCCACCGCAGTCCAGTGTTTCTTGCCCACACCCTCCCACCAGAATGTAACCTTCACAGAAACTTGCCTTCCCACCTCTGCAGCCATTTCTCACAACATATAATATACATATGTGTATCTGTGTGTATTTATATAAAGCAAAATAAAATATTAGTTCAAGGTGATCATAGCATAAAACAAAGCCATTTTAGATGTGGTCACTATATAGAGGGTTAATTTTAATTATTTTTAATTTTTTAATTTCCCATACCAGCATTGTAACTCGCTGCTAATACAAGCACTGCATTGTGTGTGTAATTCAGATAGCAACAAATTCACAGCAAAATTATTTCAGGCCACGGGCTTGTGGGGTTGCTCATAATAGCTGGCCCAACTCCTGTGACACTAGGATAGCCATCTCCAGGCAGAATAGGGAGTTTGGGAATGCCAGTAACCCAAGGGGATAAAACTTCACTTGCAAAGCATTCCACATTTTCAAAGCTTTTTTAAAAAAAATTATTTTAATTATCACACCAAACTTGATAGGGCAAATTTATTCCTACTGGGTATACAAGCAAAGTAAAATGAAGCCCAGTCATGAGCCTCCTGTGGGAACAGTCAACTTAAATACACTGGCAGAGCCAGTAAAACCCTGTACACCCGGCCTTGTTCACCCTCCCCCAGCAGCCTCTGGGGTAGGCCCAGGCCCCTCCCGCCCATGTCTTTTCCTGGCCTCTGGCCTATGGCCCATGGGTGAGGCCCAGGACCCCCACCCATGTCTTCTCCCAGCCCCTAGGTGAGGCCCAGGACCCTTCCACCCATGTCTTCTCCTAGCCTCTGGGTGAAGCCTGGATCCCTCCCACCCCCCATGTCTTTTCCTAGCCTCTGGGTGACCCAGCCATGTCTTCTTCTGGCCTCTGGGTGAGGCCTGGGTCCCTGCCACCCATGTCTTCTCCCAACCTCTGGATGTGGCCCAGGTCCCCCAACCCATGTCTTCTCCAGGTCTCTGGGTGACCCACCCATGTCTTCTCTTTGCCTCTGGGTGAGGCCCGGGCCCCTCCCACCGATGTCTTCTTCTGGCCTCTGAGTGACCCAGCCATGTCTTCTGCTGGCCTCTGGGTGAGGCCCAGGCCCACCCCACCCATGTCTCCTCTTGGCCGCTGGGTGAGGCCCGGGTTCCCCCTATCCATGTCACCCATGTCTTCTCCAGGCCTCTGGGTGACCCAGGTATGTCTTCTACTACCCTCTGGGTGAGGTCTGCCTGTCCCATGTCTTGTCCTGGCTTCCCTGGGCCTTATCTGTCCGCCCCTCACTCCTCCTTGGAGGAGACTCCTCTTGATTCCCCCGGCCACCCCACCCAGAGAGCTCTCCCCAGCGTGCCCTGGGCCCTCCCCAGGCACGGTGCGGTGGGGTTCCTTGGGCGGCTTTCTGCAGATCACCCCCATCCCTAGCACCCACCATAATTCTCTGCGCAGCACAGAGGTGCAATCCCTGCAGCTGAGTGCTCCCCAGCACGAGTCATCCTCGCTCCCTGCCTGCAGTGCGCGCTCCCCTCCCCTTCCCGCACAGGGGTATCATTAGTTGGATGAGGTTGTGTATTTGTACATGTCTTTTATGTCTCATTTTCCTCCTTTTTTTCCCATCCTGCCCCAGCGTCTTCCAGAAAGAAATGGCAGTTGACCTCTTCCGTCACCAGGCTCCCCTGTCTCGACTGGTCACAACTGTGAGACCCTACAACCCTTTCAACAAGAAGGACAAAGAAACCATAGACTACTAGAGGAGGCGGCCCTGCGCGGGCTGTCCAGGCCTCCGCCTGGGGAAGGCTTGTGCGGCGGTGGGAAATAAAGGCTGCTTCTCCGCGCTGCGCAGTGTGGTGGGTTCGGTGCTGTTCTCCGCTGGCCTGCGCGTCCCTGCCCAGCCCGCCTCTCTCCCCCGGCAGGCGGCGCTCAGCTGGACACTGGGCGCCCGCCAGCCGCGGCGCAGACTCCCAAGCCGCCGGCAGCAGGGTAGCAGGGCCTGTGTTGCAGAAGATTCCTCTTTAGGGTTGGAATATTGGGTCTACCTAGAGGTTTCACATGGCACCACTTCAGTGCAGGGATTCTAGAGCAGAGAGCAGACCATAGATTTTAGAATCTCAAAGGCAGTCTAGTCAAAAATCCGTATGCTGTCAGTGGGAACCCTGAGCTACTGAGAAAGTGCGTTCTTCTTTTCTAGCAGGGGACATCACACAAGGGGACAACATCTACCCTCTCTTGGCCTGCTCCAGTGTTTCCTTCAGAGAGAAGTGTTCCCCAGTCCCCATGAGGGTCCTGAAGTCTAAGTCAGGACCACTTTGGGTTAGAGTGTGGCCTGACCCGGCCTTGACCAAAGAGAGCACCAGCTCGCAGAATCTCTCAGGGGTGCATGTGGGCTGAGGGGGAGCCCTCTGGCCTTCGGAATATACACATAAAGTACATTTATATAGTATTTGCATGCACATATACACATACACAGAGCCTATTGGAGTTTACAAAGTGCTTTTGTAAACCTTAGCTCATTTGATCCTGCAACCTTGTAATAAATTCTTATAGCAGGCATTTTACAAATATCTTGCAATTTATGAATTAAATAGACTAAGGCCAGGAGAAGTGAAGTATTTAAGGTCACGCAACTAATAATTAGTAGAGTTATAACTAGAATCCAGGTTTTCTAAATTTAGATATTATACCTCTCCTACCCTTCCATTTTTTCAGCAAATTGGATAACCTTCAATGAATTATAAAAACAAAACAAATAGAAACTGAAAAAAAAAACCCTCCCTGTGTTTCTAGACTTTTCTGAAGTGTCTCAGGGTTTTTATCTGACTTCTAAGAAATTAAGATCAAGATAGTTATACCTCAGAACTCCAAGTAAATGTGTAAATTCTTTTGGGGGTAGTTTGTTCTTGATTTTCCCACAGAAAGGGGGAAGTCAGCTATCTTTGTGATGGAATCATGTATTGCCTCAATGGACAACAACACATGCTTCGATGGTGAGTGTTTTACCAGGATGAAAGAGGAAGGGCAACAGCCATCCATCCTGAGGGCGGACGTGCCTGCGTGCAAAAGGAATGGTTCCCCCTGAACCCAATCTTGTAGTTTCATTATTTTTAGAAAGAGTAAATTGGAAAAAAAATAGACCCAAATAAAAATCTTCAACTCTGGAATGTTCTCAGCAAAACACAAATGGGGCAGTATTAGCCTCCTTCAGGAAGCAGGTTAACGTAGGTACCTGAGATTACATTTTGCAGTAAACATCCCTGGCAGGCCACTTTGCCAGGGGGTGGTGGTGCTCAAAATCTGAGGCACCTCTTCATCATTCTGGGCCTGGATAGGGCTTCAGTAATACTGGATCTTAGCATTTTCCAGGCTAAGATAATTTTTCCATTCTCTACAGTGCAGATACCTAGACACCTGTAAGAGCACTTGAACACCCCAATGCTGCTTCTAGAAGGATGTTGGCTTTGTCTGCGGCATCCCTGGGCCTCATTCAGAAAAAGAGAGATGGTGACTCTTCATTTGCTTGTTCAGACTTATCACTTGTGAAGATAAAAATGCAAATCCTGTTCACCACAGACCTAGAATCCCAAGGTCAGTCACAACAAGGAAGAACATAGAATTACCAGTGTTCCTGACCCTGACCTGTGGGGTGGGTGTAAGTTGTAGTATTTGGGCTTCTGTGGTCAACATTACAACTAAAAGTCACAAAAGCCATGGAAAATAGTCTCAGGGATACACATCTGCTCTTCAGATTCTGAATTCTGGTCTTGCATGATTTCTTTCACCAGGAGCCAGCAGAGCTGTGCTTCCTCGGACTAACAACTTGCCCCTCACTCCCTACCCTCCGGGCACCGTCTCCTCTATAAAGTCACCCTCTCAGCTTTTCTTTATCCCCAGAGATGACACAAATACAGAGAACTGTGGCATTTTTATAGCATTTAGGTGAAAGATGTTATAAATTATACAGTTCACCTGAGAGAAAAAATACATGCTAAACCAGGCAGTGCCTCACACCTGTAATCCCAGCATTTGGGGAGGCCAAAGCGGGAGGATTGCTTCAGCCCAGAGTTCAAGATCAGACTGGGCAACACAGTGAGACCTCTTCTCTACAAAAAAAAAAAAAATCAAAAAATGAAGGAGGATCACTTGAGCTCTGGAGGTTGAGGCTGCAATGAGCCATGATTGCACCATTGCACTCTTGCCTGGGTGACAGAGTGAGACCCTGCCTCAAAAAAAAAATAAATAAATAAATAGAAAGAAAGAAAGAAAATGAAAGAAGAAAATCCATGTGAATAATCTTATTCTAGCAAATAAGGATGTTAGAATGCAGCATATTAAAATATTACAAAAGTACAATACTATGAAAAAATATGGCACTCAACACAGAGCAGAATGGAAACTAGAATTGAACAGAGGAAAGTATTTTGAACTCCTGAGTGCAGGATAGGTTTTTTTCAATAGATGGTATTGGGACAACTATTTGAAACAAAAAAGAAATGTAGATCCACTAAATGAATTGTTCCTGGAATACAGACTTAAATAGATAAGTTACAGATTACTCGGAAATTCAAGAGAATTGGTTTATAAGGTGGAGGGTGTGAAAAAAATTTCCGAAAAGGACACTGAAGGAGATAAAAAGCTACTTTCAGTATAAAAAATACAACCAAAATTTTAAGATAAAACTGCCAGGAAAATATGTCAAAGGATTCATATTCTCATTGTAAAAACAGCCTATGATTTAAAAATGATTATACTAATAAAAACAAGTCAAAGGATGTTAATAAAAAATAAGAAATATGAATGGCCAATACAATTTTTATACCTCAGTAGTATTAGAGAAATGACAGTAGTATTTCACTTTTCACCCACAAACTGGTGCTTATGAGCAGAAATAGATGTCTGTATACCACCGGTAGTTTACATGGGTAATACCTTCCTAGGGGATATTTGGCAAAATGTTTTAAGAGCTTTCGCAAGTGGCTTACATTTCAACTTGGTCATTTCGTTTTTAGGATTTTGTCAAAGCAAATAATCACACAGTAAGCAAATATATATGCATAAAGAATTAAAGGTGCAGCATTTTATTTAACTGAGAGAAAATGAAAACAACTTACTGTCCTGTAGGGTAAACACAACTGATAGCAATAACTTAAGCATACTCTTAGAATGACCCTTATGGCAGATGCACCTGATGTGTGTTCTGAGCTAGGGCATCTGGGAGTGGCTAACACAGAGATTGGTTTCTTATCTATGATAAACATCTGAGCCCCTGTCCCATCCTGTGGAACATGGCCGAACAAGAGATTGAGGCCCTGAGTTTTGGGTTCATGAAGGTTGGAAGGTGGAGTTCACTAGGAGGAGGATGTTAAGTGAAAATGCTATATAAACTGCATGCTGTTTGCAAGCAGTTGCAGTTTTCCTGGCCAGCCTGCTGCCACTGGGTTATGTGGTTATGTTGTCCAGGCTACCACCACCATTTCTGTAATTAAGGCAGTCCTATTATCCAGCCTGCCTGCATTGGACTCTCTCCCCTGTATAGTATGCTCCTAATAAAATCCCATGCTTCATTTGCTGTCTCTGGATCTCTTCTTCGGCCTCTTGAACCTAGTGTCTTCCCTATTGAGATGCAAAGTTCGATACAACATGCCCATCGAAAGAAAATGTGATAGGCCGGGCGCGGTGGCTCACACCTGTAATCCCAGCACTTTGGGAGGCCAAGGTGGGCAGATCACCTGAGGTCAGGAGTTTGAGGCCAGCCTGGCCAACATGGTGAAACTCCATCTCTGCCAAAAATACAAAAGTTAGCCAGGAATGGTGGTGGGCACCTGTAATCCCAGCTACTCAGGAGGCTGAGGCAGGAGAATCACATGAATCCAGGAGGCGGAGGTTGCAGTGAGCCAAGATTGGGCCACTGTACTCCAGCCTGGGCAACGAGAGTGAAACTCCATTTCAAGAAAAAAAAAAGAGAGAGAAAATGTGATAAATTGTTGTACATTAATGTACTGAAATATATGCATTAAAAAGATAATAGAGCTTCGTATTGATTATCATGAAAAGATATATATGCAATATTGTTAAATGCAAAAGCAGGTATTACAACAGCGTGTATTTAATTATTTAAATTTTAAATATATGTATACATAGAAGACTGTAGAGAAAAGGTAAATAGTTACTAGTTCTGAGATTACAGGTGATTACCCTTTTATACTGTTACTACAGTAGGCATGTGTTCTTAAAAACTGGAAAACTTAAGAAGTTATAAAAAAGTCAATGCCCTTTCTCTTCAAAGGTCCTTACATAAGAAACTATCCAAAACATTCCTTTTAATAATTTAGAACCAGAAAAATGATTGTCCCTCCTGAAAAAAACCTGGTTTTAGAGTATGAGAATCATATAAGTCACCCACCTCAATCTCTTATAAAATCTGCTGGTTTATAACATATACAGGAGTGAAATTACATAAGGTAAAGTGCTTCCACTTCCCCCTGCCTGCCGGGGAGCTCAAAGCTGAAGTGAATAAACATATTAACTGATAGCTTAAACACTTGAGCCAGGGTTCCACATTTGAAACTGACATTTGAATAAGCCACTAATGGAGTCATCCTGACCCAGGTTCAAGTTTGACAACCACTGATGACTCTGAGGGCTGTGTGCCTGCTTCCTCCTGCATTAGCTACATTTTAATAAAATTTGTATCTTCTCTATTTCCTCAAGGATCTAAGGTATCTCCTAATACTGAAAGGACTTAAAGTGGACACAGAAAAATCTAAAACCTACGTGGCTTCACGTTTAATTTGTTTCCCATGAGTGTTTCATGCACAAAATGGAGCGTTGGTTTTAGGAAAAAAAAATTAGTCCATGTCCTGATAATTGTCCAAATTGCCCTTGTGGTCAGAGAAGGCAATTATCCAATAGTAGGAATAACTTACCAACCCAGAATTATTTTCTAATAAGTGAAAATATTCCAAATTTAATCTATTTGCTCCCTTTAGCACAGTACAGACTCTGGGCTGGGTGACATGGTTTTCAGTGTTTTTTTGTTTTGTTTTGTTTTGTTTTGTTTTTTGTTTCTTTTACTTTGTGTTGTAATACACCCTTATGCATCCTATCCAAATGATATTCAGAAACAATACTGTGGTTTTATTTGACGCCATTGTATTTTTTTCATTATGGTTGGTTTAAATATAATACTCACAATTACTGTTGTCAAAGCAATTCCCATTTCACCCTCTATAAATGTAGATTCCTCATGGAGTGGTGAAATTGACATTGAAGAGCTGTTTCAGCCCTGTTCATCTTACCTGCTAATTACAGGTGCACAGGAAGAGCGCTGGTTTCCTCTGTGCCGGCCCAGACTTGGCTGGTTACCCAGACTGGGTTTCCAGGGCAAATCCCATTGGTTCTAGTTTGTAAACTGTAAATGGAAACAGATTTACTTCCTTACATGCACACTTTGGAAATAAAGCCCTAAAAAGTGTTCAGTGTTAATCTACGTTTCCAGTGCTGGTACATTGTTTTTATTGTGTCTTCCGTGGGCAGAGCCACAAGATAAAAGATAAAGTGAGACAGCAATGGGCCGGTGAGGACAGGCAGGAAGAGGTGTCTGGGCAGAGGAGGGGTGGGGAAGAGGCGCTGAGGGTGTGGTGCCCTGAGGTTGTAGGGTGCACATTGTGGAAGGTTGGGGTATCTGCACTGGAAGGCCAGTGTCACAGGATTGAGGCTGTCTGCTCTGGAGGGACCCATGGGCAGGGCCCAGACACAGCCCTGGGATGGCAACCCCACAGTGCTAAGCACAGTTCCAATGCAGGATTGCTGAGCTCAGGGCAGGGCTGTGGGCTGAGTGGGAACCGTGCTGGGCAAAGCAGAAATCAAGGAGAACTGATGTCTGATAGCTGAGGGTAGGGGGTGGTATCAGAACACTGACTGTTGTCTACTTGCTGGAAAGAATGACTTCCAATCACAAATTAGTATATTGAGTAAATATTCCCCAACATTTAACGGCTTAGTACTATGCTTTCATACTCAGTTATCTAAGAAGACATACAACCAAAGTCTTCCCTGAGAAGTTTACTAAAAAGTCAGTGTTTCAAGGTAGATGCCCTATGGGTCCTTTCCTGGGATGATTCTAAGATCATGTGAGCAATTGTAGACTCCTAGTCCATAATCTAAAGCTTGCCTAAATAGACTACAAGGATAACAGTCATGTCAAATGCTGCTGGGAGCACCTGGACTGGTTTCTAAGGAAAGTCTTGGCCTTCTGGTTGCTTCCTTGGCATGCATCATGGTGGAGTGGCCTCTGTTAAGGCACAGGCCTTGGTAAGAAGCTCAGTGTTCAAAGTGTGAGGTCCAGCTTATGCTGAACCGAGCTCAACAATGTGGATAGCGGTGGGAGAAACCACTGCAACTCTACCTTCCTCAGCCATTGGGACCCCTCCCAGGAAGCAGCCTCATGGCTGCAAAATCAAATCCAGGTTTGTTGTTGTTGTTGTTGTTGTTTTTGAGACAGAGTCTCACTCTGTCGCCCAGGCTGGAGTGCAGTGGCATGACCTCAGGTTACTGCAACCTCCGCCTCCTGGGTTCAAGCAATTCTGCCTCAGCCTCCTGAGTAGTTGGAATTACAGGCGCGTACCACCATACCAGGCTAATTTTTTTTGTATTTTTAGTAAAGACGGGGTTTCACCTTATTGGACAGGCTGGCCTCGAACTCCTGACCTCGTGATCTGCCTGCCTCGGCCTCCCAAAGTGCTGGGATTACAGGTGTGAGCCACCGTGCCCAGCCTAAATCCAGGTTTTATTGGCAAGTTTGGCCCTGCCACACTTGGGCCAACGTTTATGGAAACAGAGGAGCATTCAGCAGGAAACCAGAAGATGCTGTGTGCTCGCTGCTGATCTATGTTGAGGCAGCCACCCTCCATGCTGAGCAGACAGCTTCTCTTATCTTTCATTTTGTCATCCGGATACTAAATGTGTAATCCTTTTAATATGCAAGCAGATTATGTAAGATATAATATGGAATTTAAAGGGGTGTAAAGTGCTACAGCATATCAAAAGATGTATCTGAATCCACGTCTACAAAAATTGGAATATGGATATATTCATATATTCACGTTATATATCAATATATTCATATTCCAATATTTTGTATATCTATCCGTCTTTGAATATCTTGGAATATGGATAGATATAGACATATCATTTTATCTGAACTTAGAAGTCCCCTTGACTTCATTTTTTCTTTGGGAAAAAACTTATCTTTCCTAATTTGCTCATTAAACTCGGGTCAGAAATATTCATTTTAGGTTATTGGTTTTCTCGGTCTTGCTATTTAAAAGAGTATTTCTCAACTGCCATCTGGAAAAGGTCACAGAAATATTAATATACTTCTAAAACTAGAAGACCAAAAGCCTCAGCTTTCAATATAAGTTAAAGTGTGGTGATGCAAATTGCAGAAAATCAGTGGCCTGTATCTCTTCAAGAATTATTTAATAATGAATTTACCAGTAGCAAAATAAAAGGACCTCTCCTGAGTAAGCTTTAAACACAACTGAAATACACACAGGGGAGGAAGAGCCACTGGGCTTTCTGCGACTCCGAGGATGACAAGGGAAAGGCCATGTGGTGTTCAGACACCTGGGAGGGCCAGGCAGGGCCCTGAAATGACAGGAACCTCAGCCAAGGAGCTGAGGAAGCAGGTAGGGAAGGAGGGAGAGCCAGAAAAGGGGATGCACAGCAGAGACTGGGCCAAGGCATGCTCCCCTTACAGCAGCTACCAGGCCCAGCAGGCCAGCACCTTCCTCTCATGTTCGCGAGGAGCTGTCTTGAGTAAATGCCCCACAGGAGCACACGTGGATTCCTTTGATCTACACACGGGGGACTTCACAACCTCCCAAGGATGAGTGGTCGCTGCTCTTTTGGGGCTACTGTGAGCATTTGTGCAGTGAAGTCAGTTCTTGGCTCTGAAAACCAGTGGAACCAAGCAAAGATTCTCCCCAGATGGAGTACAGGCTCTGTGAAGGCTCATGGGCTGCCCGTGGGTGCATGGCCCAGCCTTTCACTCAGCTTGACAGCCAGATCCTCATGCTGGATGCCAGGCTATGCCTGGGGAGGGCTCCTGGAGCTCAGGCGTGAACTCCATGGTGCTGCAGAGGTGAGAGCATGGGATATTTCTCCAAACCACTGGGACCTTTACAAAACCTTTACCCTCTTCTGCTTAAAAGGTTAGCTTAGCTAAGGCAGGGCAGTGACGTTGTTTTGGTTGTGGTTTGATTCTAGTTCCTTTCAATTCTTCATCGTTTGTCCTTCAAGGTTCCTGGAGTCTGGGGCTCCTGAGAGCAAGCCCCAGCCCTCTTCACAGTGACAACACCCCTTCCTTTCTGGCACACCCTGCAGAGAGGCCACCCTTTTCCCCAGAGGCACCCCTTGTGAGTGAATTGCTCCTGTTCACTTCCTGCCTGAGGGGCAGCATTGAAGGGGGCAGGGAGAGGCAGGGGGAGGGATGTTTAGCAGGGGTGAGGAGAGGAGCAGCCGTTCTGGGCACGCGGAAATTCCAACTGTGCTGAGACTGACGCTCACGTACCCCCGCCTCTGGCTGTGGGACAAGAGTATTTGCCTTCTTGGTAGAAATTTTCCCTAATACTTAGTTTTTATTTCCCTAAGTTTCTAACTTTCTACAACTTCAAAGTTCACATGGAAATACCATTAAAGCCATAACCTATTCCCTTGGACAGTGGCTGTGTGCTGCACTAGGCCCTACCCGGGAAGCCACGCACCTGGCCTATGTCAGAGTTGCTGCTCCGGGAGAGGTTAGGACACAGGATCCAGCACTCACACTGATTTGTGGCATGGAATTTATGTCCTCAAAGCCTCCCATTTCTCACTGGGAAGATGTAGGTTGTTGTGGATGTTGAAGAAGAGAATATGCAGAAGTACCTGGCACGTTAGACGCAATCAATACATATTACCAATCGTGAATATTAAAAATCATTATCCTCTGAAACACGCCTTGGCACCACTTCTTGGCCTGCAGGTACAGTCCATGAAACAAGTAGCCCTTCCCCACCCTGCCTAGCCCCAGGAGCCATCACGATGTACCATGTCCTCTTTTTTTTATTATTATTTTTTGAGACGGAGTCTCTCTCTGTCACCCAGGCTGGAGTGCAATGGCGCGATCTCAGTTCACTGCAATGTCTGCCTCCCTGGTTCAAGTGATTCTCCTGCCTCAGCCTCCTGAGTAGCTGGGATTACAGGCACACACCACCACGCCCGGCTAAGTTTTGTATTTTTAGTAGAGATGGGGTTTCACCATGTTGGTCAGGCTGGTCTCGAACTCCTGACCTCATGATCCCCCCTCCTCAGCCTCCCAAAATGCTGGGATAATGGACATGAGCCACTGTGCCCAGCTAACCATGTCCTCTTACTCCAGCCAGCCTGGGCCTCTGGCAATGCTGAGGAGCCAGGGATACTGGGACTCACATGGGCACCAGCACTGGAGGCTGAGAGCCAGCCTAGAATCCAGAGCTCTCAGATAAACCCCCACATTTATGGTACTTCCGATATTGCCTTACTTAGGTTTTGTCTGTAATATGTTATAGCAGTGATCTCATTGTCATGAAAGGACCCTTTTATGTATTATTTTCCCTGTTCCTTCAAGTCTGGTTTTACTCCTCTTGTTGAAAGTCATGTTTTATTCCTCTTGGTGTGAATGAGGGTAATGTATGTAGCCAGGTACTATTAGGTATTTGCAAATATCTGCAACAAGGATGGATGGATAGATCGATGGATGGATGGATGGTTAGTCACCTAGAACTCCAAGCAGTCCCCTTAGCAGAAGATATTTAAACCTAAAATTCACAAGGTGGAAAGTCAGAAATTTCCAATACTTTTTCTTCTGTGTTTGTACTCCCAATTACTACCTTTTTGTTCCCTGTGTTTTCTCCTTCAGATCATTTTCTTTCACCTATTGCTCTGGTCAGTATCCCTCCTCTTGTCTGCTGCTTCCCTCTGCTCCCCAACCTCATTGCTTACAATGTGGGTCTGCTGGTAATATTTCATCTAGTTATTCCAACTACACTACAAGGTAGGTATTATTTCTTACATGTTACAGATGAGGAAACTAGAATTCAGACAGCATGTCCAAGGTTACACACTAGCTCATGGTGGGTTGAGGCATCTGGCAGAGATCTGCCTCCAACCAGTGTCAGACCACTGATATTCTGATTGCAAATGACTATGAACTATATTTACTCAAGTACCGCTCATTCTAAATATTACTAAAAGAGAGAAACTATTTCTGTGAAAATACTGCTAATTCCAGTTTTTGGGCCCCATGTCAGATGGAAGTGCAAATGTTTTTCAAAAGAACATCTTATTCTCTGTGCACATTCCCCTTCAGAATAAATGAACAGTTCTGGGGCTGCTTATCTGGAAATTCAATACATCAACCTGGAATATAAGGAGCCACCATCTTTCTTTCTTTTTTCAAAAACAAGCTCTCATGTGTGTCTTGTAAAGTCCAAGGCATACAGACTCCCCAGGATGTGCCTCCTAAAGTGCGAGGCATATGAACCCCAGGATGTGTCTCCAAAAGTCTAAGACACACAGGAGAGCTTGATTTAAAAAAAGAAAAATAAATAAATAAATAAATAGGGAGGGAGAGAGAGGAGAGACAGAGAAAGAAAAGAAAGACTGGGAGGCCGAGGCAGGTGGATCACCTGAGGTCAGGAGTTCCAGGCCAGCTTGGACAACATGGTGAAACCCCATCTCTACTAAAAATACAAAAATTAGCTAAGCATGGTGGCACATGCCTGTAATCCCAGCTACTTGGGAGGCTGAGGCAGGAGAATCACTTAAACCTGGGAGGTGGAGGTTGCAGTGAGCCGAGATCGCACCACTGCACTCCAGCCTGGGTGCCAGAGCAAGACTCTGTCACACAAAAAAAAAAAAGAGAGAAGGAAGAAAGGGAAAGGAGAGAAGGAGGGAGGGAAGGAGGAAGGGAGGGATGGAAGGAGGGAGGGAGGGAGGGAAAGAGGGAGGAAGGAAGGTTACTTCCCCAGGGGCATGTGATGTTTTCTTGTTGCAGAGATAAATCCCATAGGCGAGGCAAGGTCCAAGGAGAAGAAGGTATTACCTAAGAAACTCCGAGAGAAGAATGGAGGCTCCTGCTTCACGGAAGAACAGGCCACTTCCTGGGGTCAGTGACTTCAGCAAAGCCCTGAAGAATATCAAGAGTTCTATGAGGGGGAGGAGTAAGGAGAACATTCCTGGCTCCACTTGAGAGACTCGAACTGATGACTCCCTCCATCATGTGGGAAGATCTCAAACATTTTGATTTTAGGAATTCTTAACACCCTTTAAACTTATTAAGGTTCCCAAGGACTTTTGATCATATGGGTTACATTATTGATATTTACTGTATTATAAATTAAAATTGAGAAATTTCAGAATCTGGATCAATTCATTTTGAAACCATAATAATAATAACATAATTTTATGTTAACACAAATAATTACTTTTTAAATAAAATAACTATATTTCCCAAAACAAAAAAAATTAAGAAGAGTGTCATTGCATATTTTTGCAAATCTTTTTAATGTCTGACTTAACAGAAGAGAGCCAGATTCTCATGCCTGCTTCTGCATTCCAAATCTGTGGCAACAGGTGTTTTGGGTTGAAGAATATGAAGAAAGTTAAGCTTCACACAGATAACTAGTAAGGAGAGGAGTATTTTAATATTTTTTTGGATATTACAGATACTATTCCTTGATTCTATACCAAAAATTGACAAGAGGTAGTTTTTGCAAAATTATTTGCCGTGTGCTATTGGAAACTGTGTTCTGTTGAAAATTGATTGGCCCATTGCTTTGTGGTGGTTTTGTGATGCACCATCTTGGCCAGGTTGAACTCCATTCCCCAGAAGTTCCATTCTAGCATGTTTTTGGTAAGAGTGGGCTATAAGGGAGATTTTCTCAGGAAGGGAGTTAGAAGGTGGGAGAGAAGCAATGGCCATTTTGTATCTTGCACACATTTTCCCCAGCTGTTTGTCAAATGCTGGGAACAGAGGCCCCCCTTCAGGAGTCTCCTCAGTTTCTCTGCCTCCTGGGCCAGGTGTGCGTTGCTCCCTGAGGAAGGACCCCAGTTTTCACCACACGCCCTTGTCAATAAGATCAGTGGCAACAAGAGCAGACACAAGCTTCCGTCTGTCCAGCTCAGCACTGTGGTTCCAGGCTGCTGGTGATCTTCCTGCCTGACAGCCTGCCAGTGGGCTTCCGGCTCCAGCCTCAGAATCAGGGCAGCCTGGTAATAGGCTGCTTAGCCAGCCCACTCTGTACTAAGATCATTTTAAAAATTACCTATGTGTGTGTATACACATATACATACATACACATACACATATAACATAGGTACCTTACTGGTTCTGCTTCTCTAGTCAAACACTTCAACCAAATACACACTTCCAATGGACTTTTTTCCTATCTGTGATTTGACCTCACAGATATCTGAAAGGTACAGGGTATCCCAAGTTTTCTCAAATAATTCTTTGAGAACTGCAGGTACAGGGAAAATAGGAGGCAGGCTAGGGCCAGATCTTAAAGGATCCTTGAATGCCAATATGCGAACTTTGGACTCTTCCCTGTAAATAACAATCAAGTAAAGATTTATAAAGATTTCTGAGTGTTTTAAGATGAGTTTGAATCAACTACAGGAAGTTTTGAATAGGAGAGAAACGAAACACAGGAAAATAACATTCACGTGCAACTTGCCCTACTAAGGTGTGTTCAGTTGCTTCTATCTGCTGGTGATCCACAAATAAATCTTGATACCCCAACCAGGGATCCAGACCTGTAGTCAGGAACCCTGCATATAGATATTAAAAAATATGTCTACTAATTTTTTAAATCTTCTTTTCTCCATTCCTAACTCTCATTTTCCTCTAATTTAGACCCTCAATGTTTTATGCCTGATATTTTGTAATAGCCTTTCAGTGGGGTCTCTCTCTCTCTCTCTCTCCTTCTCCTCCTTTTTCTCCTCCTCTTCTCCTCCTCTCCTCCTCCTCCTCCTTCTTCCTCTTCTTCTTCTTCTTTTTCTTCTTCTTTTCTCTCTCACTCTCTCTCTCTCTCTCTCCCCCTCCCTTTCTCCCTCTTTCTCTTATTCTGGGGAACATGGATTCTCATTCAAATCCATCTTCCTCAGTATTGGTATATAATGGGTCTAAAATATGAATTTGTTTATTTAATTCTGTGCTTAAAAAAATACTTTAATGGCTCCCATTTCCTTTACAACAAATCTCTAGCCCATTCAGGACACAGCGGTCTCTCAGAACATGGTCACATGGTCCCCATCTCCTCTCTTTCCAGGCTACCTTCTGCCGGCCACCATCCCATCCCATCCCACCCCTTTGCTGCCATGGCAGCTGCCAGGAATTGTGTCACACCTCTTTATAGGTTCTCTCGCCTTTGCCTAGAATGTCTGCCTTTCCCCACCAACTTTCTCACCCTAAACTTAAAGACCCCATGGTAATATCCTATGCTTTGTGAAGTCCTCCTAACCCACTGGGGGTATTAATGACTCCTTCCTTATCATTTTCATTGCACCTTAGGCACATATCTATCTATTAATGGATTTTTTTCATATTTTACCTGTTGGTCCTGAACAGCTGGAAACTATGTCCTCTAGGGGTAGAAAAAATGCCTGGCATATATTCAGAAACTCAACTGAAGTTGGAAGAAGGAAATTGAAGTTCACATGTATGAGACAAAGAAAGTTGTATCTATTTACACCTCTACGATCTTGTCTCATATGATTCTTAAAATGCTGAGGATGAATTGAAAAAATTCCAAACTCACTGACTTAAATCTTTCACTACTTTAGGAAACATTTACTAAATGCGTCTTATGTCTCAGGAAAACATGCACTACATTCTAGCTACAAATGGAAGTGAGTCGTTGGCACACAGCATGGCTAAAAAGAATTCTACACGATGGTCACTTGTGCAGACACCTGGAGAAGATTTTGTATGGAATGAGCACTGTTGTGTGCTGATTTGTGGGAGAAGCTTGCGTGTTGATAGGGATGCTTGCCAGGAGACAGTCACAGTGGGGGTGTTGTGAAACCCCTCAGGCAGTGGGCTGCAGCTGAGGCATAGTGGAGAATAAAATAAAGGAAGTTTCCTTTCTGAATCTAACAGAGCTGGCCAGGTAGGAGGAAGCTGTTCAGTATACAAAGCCTTTGCCCTCTGATGCTGTCCACGGATGGCAAAATCCCATGTTATTCCAGCTCTATCCTTCGAGAATTTCCACTGTCACTGAGGGCCCCTTACTCGCATCCGTGTCTTTGTTCAGGAAGGAGAATGCACCGTGGAGCCTTCTCAAATTTTTTCAATATGAAGCTGGTTTTTCGCTATTTTAATTCAAAAAAAGTGTTTTCATCTGTTTATTAACTAAAAGCCTACTCCCTTGATTTTACATAAAATAAGGGTGAGGTCTCCTCTTAACATCCTAGATGGCTCCCGAGTTCATTTTGGAGCATAGTTTGTACTTTCCTGCTATTAACTTTCCTATAGAATAATTAAATACTTTGTATGGACTGCCACCATGTCAAAACATTGTTTAGCCAATTAAATAATTAAAACTTAGTCTGTAATTACTTAGGCAAAAGCACCTGATATGATAGCATGCATTTTATAACAGTCTGAGAAATCACTAAATCCTGTCAACTGGCCTGTAAGGAATTACAGGAGTAGAAATTATGTAGCAAAGATGGCCCAGGACAGCAAGTTCTGCCTTCGGCCAGCTCCAGCAAGTCACATGGTATCTCTGGGCCTCAGGTGACCCCTCTGTGAATTGAAGTTTTCGCTTTCTAAATTATCTTTCATCCCCATCTTTAGGATATTGTGACTAACAAGAATATCCCTGACTAAATTTGCCAACCCTGAAGCACCTATAAGGATTGTGTAGATTACTTCAGGTGCTTGTTGAAATTACAGGTGTCTTGGTCTTTTTAGATTGCTACAACAAAATTCTCTTGGCCAAGTGTAGTGGCTCTTGCCTTTAATCCCAGCACTTTGGGAGACAGAGGCAGGCAGATGGCTTGAGCCCAGGAGTTTGAGACCAGCCTGGGCAACAATAACAAAACCCCATCTCTACAAACAAAACGAAACAAAAATTAGCTGGACATGGTGGCGCATGCCTGTGGTTCCAGCTACTTGGGAGGCTGAGGTTGAAGGATCGCTTGAGCCTAGGAGGCCAAGGTTGCAGTGAGCCATAATCGCACGACTGTACTCCAGCCTAGGTGACAGAGCAAGACCCTGTCTCAAAAACAAAAACAAACAAAAAAAGAACAACAAAAATACCTTAAGCTGAGTGGTTCATAAACACAAAAATTTGTTTCTCAAAGTTCTGGAGGCTGGGAAGTCCAATGTCAAGGTGTCCATAGATTTAGCCATCCAGTTTTGCCTTCCCAGGGCAGAAGGGGTGAGAAAGTTCTCTCTGGGGTCTGTTTTATAAGGGCACTGATCCCACTGACAAGGGCTTGGCCCTCATGACCTTATCACTCCCAAAGACCTCATCTCTTTTTTATGTCCTCACCTTGAGTGTTAGGATTTCAATATATGAATTTGGGAGGGATATAAGCCTCCAATTTATGGCAATAGATAAATGTCATGATGACTTTGATGTATATGTCATCTTTCTGGTTATTCATTTCAGAGCCACAGAGGAGGAACTCACATGCAAAGCCCTGAGTGCAAAGCTGGACCATGAAGTTTCACTCACCTTGAACTTTAATTCACACATTCTTAGGATGTAGGTCACAACCTTAAGGATCGTAGATGCCTAAGCCCCATCCAATAACATCACTGAGAGGTTAGGGATTTGGGTGGCTTGGAGAACACAAGGGCATTCAGCCAGCTTTAGCCTGTGCTATACCCAAGTTATTCTCAAGAATCAATGGCCCAGACCTGGAGGCCAGGGAGGCCAAGGCAGTCCAGCCAGAGTCTGCTTATCTGGTAGATTTCACTGTACCCAGTGACTCCAGGTCTACCTTCCCATGGTGCAGGGACCAGATCTCTCATCTCTGGTGCTTCCTTCACCATTTTGCTCAGGAACACAGGGCTTTCATGCAAATGGGCCTCCTAGAAACTTGCTCACAGATAACACAGGGTTTATTAAAGGTAATAAACAAACACTTCACCTGTTCTAATGTGTTTCTTCTTTCCAGCTCTTGACTCTCAGCACTCTTCCTGTCTATGGTCCCACTCCTGCACCTTAGGCTGTCCATTTGCATTAATTCTCTTTAGTTTCAGAGACTTTCATGTGAATTTATTGGGCCTGGTCACTCATTTCACACCTCCTGGGAGACAGTATCTCCCTCATGTCCCGATCCCACAATGGTGATGGGAGTGTTTAACACAGAAAAACAGTGGTTTCCCCAGATTTCCCATTGCAACGACAATGTTTCAAAAAGCTTTCTCCCACCATTGTCACTAGCTCCTCTCTCCTGACTTTGCAGTACTGTCAATTAAGGAGTAAGATTCTGCCCTAAATGCAAACATTCAAGCATAGCACACTCTGGTGCAAACCCAAGGCATGCATTTCTCTTCGCTTCTATAGAAATTTGTACTCAAAGTTTACAAATATTTGTTGAGTTGGGTGTCATTTGATACAAATATGGTATGATAAGATTTCTTTTGTCCCTCATAGTGTCATCTTTACTCTTCCTTGCTCTTTCAAGGGAAAGTAAGTTTCATAAATTTTTTTAAAAAGACCAAAATTTGTTAGCATAAAACTTGTACTATTATATAAGAGTATTAGGGCCTTTAACTTTTATCATATGCTAAAATTACTTCAACATGGATCAAAAACCTAAATGGAAGACCTAAAACCAGAAAACTCTTTTTTTTTTTTTCGTCTGAGACAGAATCTCACTCTGTCACTCAGTCTGGAGTGCAGTGGCGCGATCTCGGTTCACTGCAACCTCCAACTCCCAGGTTCAAATGATTCTCCTGCCTCAGCCTCCTGAGTAGCTGGGATTACAGGCGTGCGCCACCACACCTGGCTAATTTTTGTGTTTTTAGTAGAGATGGCATTTCACCATGTTGGCCAGGCTGGTCTAGAACTCCTGACCTTAAGTGATCTGCCCGCCTTGGCCTCCCAAAGTGCTGGGATTGCAGGCATGAGCCACCACATCCAGCCCAGAAAACTCTTACAAGAAAACACAGGAGAAAAGCTTCATAATGTTGGATTTTTCAATGACTTCTTGGATATGACACCAAAAAATAGGTAAAAAAATAAAATAATTAAGTTGGATAACATCAATATTAAAAACTTCCATGCATCAGGGAATACTATCAACAGAGTGAAAAGGCAACTATCAGAATGGAGAAAATACTTGCAAATTATATATCTGATAAGAGACTATTATCCAAAATATATAAATTACCTTTTAACTCAGCAATAACAAATAACTCAATTAAAAACTGGGCTTGAATAAATATTTTTCTAAAAAAGATACACAAATGATCAACAAGCATATGAAAACTGATCAACTAATCATTAGGAAAATACAAATGAAAACTAAAATGTGATGTCACTACACACCTATTAGGATGGCTACTATTAAAAACAACAGCCAGGCACCATGGCTCACGCCTGTAATCCCAGCACTTTGGGAGTCCAAGGCGGGCAGATCACCTGAGGTCAGGAGTTCGAGACCAGCCTGGCCAACATGGCAAAACCTCATCTTTACTAAAAATACAAAAATTAGCTGGGCATGGTGGTGCGTGCCTGCAATCCCAGCTATTCAGGAGACTGAGGCAGGAGAATCGCTTGAACCTGGGAAGCAGAGGTTGCAGTGGGCCAAGATCATGCCACTGCACTCCAGCCTGGGCAACAAGAGTGAAACTGTCTCAAAAAATAAATAAAAATAACAAATACTGGTGAGGATATGGAGAAACTGGAACCCTTGTGCACTGATGGTGGGAATGTAAGATGGTTCAGTGATTATGGAAAACAATATGCTGGTTCCTCAAAAAACTAAATATATAATCCAATAATTCCACTTCTGGGTATATATCCAAAAGAATTGAAAGCAGGGTCTTAAAGAAATACTTGTACACCCACATTCATAGCAGTGTTATTCGCAATAGCCAAAAGGCAGAAGCAAGCCAAGTGTCTACTGATGAATGGATGGATGGATGGACAGATGGATGGATGGATGCATGCATGAACAACATGTGGTCTATACATACAATGGAATATCATTCAGCCTTAAAATGAAGGAAATTCTGACACATGCTACAACATGGATGAAACTTGTAGGCATGGTGCTAAATGAAATAAGGCAGTCACAAAAGGACAAATAGAGGATGATTCCCCTTATATGAGGTATCTAGAGAAGTCATATTCATAGACAGAAAAAAGAACGGTGGTTTCCTAGGGCTGGTGGTTGGAGAGAGGAATGCGGAATTAGTGTTTAATGAGTTTCACTTTAGGAGAATGAAAAAGTTCTGGGGATGGATGGTGGTGATGGTTGCACAACAGGTATTTAACACTATTTAAATATACCCTTAAAAGTGATTAGGATGATAGATTTTATGTCATGAGTATTTTACCATAGTTGTAAACAAAACTTATGTTATGAGAAATGACCAATATTGACAACAGGGAGGAATAAGGGAAGAGACCAGAAAGGAATCAGCAGACCATCAGAGTTCCAGGGTTTAGAGGGAAAGGCGGCTTGCTCAATCAAATAGGTAATTACTTATTTGCACCATCGTTTGGACACATTTTATATTCATCGTCACTTAGGAGTAAGATTATTTTCTATTGGCTACCAGTTATATCAGGAAAGGTTTCCAGACCATTGATGAGAATGAAAAATATGTCCTGCGCTTTCAAATAACTAACTCCCTGGAGCAACAAACACATATCCAATTAGCTGACAGTGCTTTTATGGAAATATAAACAAAATTTAATGAAAGCAGTTTATTTTCCCCGAGCACATTAGAAAAGCCATCTCGGAGTACTTTGCGTTAAGAATGCTCAGGGTCTTTCTGATAAAGAAAGGGAGCAAGCGTGCCAACCACATGCCCAATGTGAGCAATGACACAGACCCAGTTGGGCCCGGTGCTCTGCTGAGAGAGCAGGCAGGGAGAGAAGGAACTCATGCTGAACCTGCGACAAGCCCATGAAGAGCTCTGAACACCATCATGAGGACTGAGATGATAGGTTGTCTCTAATAACCATCTGAGCTGGCCTCTGCCTGGTGCTGCTACTTTCAATGGTGCTGCTACTTCTCCCAAAGAAGCCTGCCTTTGCTCCTGGGATTGCCTTAGGAAATGCCATGCATGCCCAAGGCAAAATTGTCATTGGAAAACTACCTCACATATACTTCACGCTGAGGCATGAGTTAAGCTGAAGGCTTTTATGTCAGCAAGCTAGTAGTCTGAGTGTGCACAGTTCACCTAAAGCTAGTTTGCTTTCATTAGTACCAGAGATGCAAGAAAGCCATACACCAGATTATCTATAGCATTCAAATGGAGGTAAACCAAGGCTTACAAATAAAAATTCATTGCCCCTAGTTTTCACTCATGACTAGAAAAATTCCAATTGTGCCTTCATAGTTTTTATTCAATAATCATTTTAAAGCATCTACTATCTGCTGGCATTTGTACTGGGTGCTGAGAATACAATGGGAAACAAAACACATTCCTGGCACTCATAGGGCTCACAGAGAATGGGCAAGATGGAAACACACAGCTGATGGTGAAGCCGGGTGAAGGCTGCCATCCTGCAGTCCAGTTAGTATGTATGTGCCGGCACCTCAACAAGCCCGGAGCTCTCTTATGCTCCAGTAAACCTGACAGGTCATGCTGTCATTAACGATCCCATTTTCCAGATCAGGAAAACTGAGACCTAGAGGGGAAGACCACTGCAGAGCAGGGATTGACCAGCCATCTCAGTCACTTGCAAGGAGGAGAGAGTCCTTGGAAAGGAATAGCCCCCCAAAAAAAGGCATGACCAGGACTAGCAGAAAGCACTTCTGGGACAGCAGGGAAGGGACTCGGGACATGGCCAGATGGTAGCTGCTCCTGGGCCTTGAATGCCAACTCGGGCATTTTTCTTTATTAATTTATGCCCTGAGCTCAGGCAGCTTTCCTCATGATTCCATGGGGGTTTTGTTTTTTCTTTGCCTTAGAGTTAATTAAACCGATGCGCTGGCCCTGATAGCCATGCAATTATATTCCCTAAGTGCTTTCACACACGGCTGGGTTTAACAACAGCAGATGAACAGTTTGGTTATCCATGGTGCAGTCGGTGAGAGTCCAGCACAGAATTGAAAGATATCTCTGGTCGAATTAGCTTCTGAGGAATCTAGACCAGAGAACTCAGAGGCGGGTGGCAGCGTGACCCCAAAGGCACTTGGCTGTGCAACTGGCTTTGCCAGAACCCTGGGGAATTCCACCTGGAACCCTCCAAGACCCCAAAGGCAAAGAAAAAGCACACATAGACCCCTGTGCATTACCATTTTTTCAAACGTTCCAGGAAATAAATCCTGTCACCTTTACCAAGTTCCTTATCCATCCAGACACTTCCGTTAAAAATGCGTTTTTGTGTTTAATAAATTGCTTCTACTTGGCGGAAAATCATTTCTCACTGTTATCTCTGTGATCGGTTACTTCTGCCCTTCTTTAATGGACTTCACCTGATTATACGGCTAGTCATTAAAAGCTTAGTCCCCAGTACAATGGTATCTTCTGTAGAGTGATCCATGAGAGCTTTATAGAGGCTTACCAGCCACAGCCTTAATTTTACTCATTCGTCTTAATTTTTTGTAATCATTTTTTGTAAAGAGGGTATAATGTCAGGCTTGCTTCCCTGCCTCTGACAGATCCAATCTAGCAGATAATTACCATAAGGAAATTGATGCTTTAGTGTGCAGGAGAGAATTTAATTTACTCAGACATCCTACAGTACAATGCATTCCAGAAGATATGAGGATTTAAGTTTTTAAGAAATTAAATTTTACTATTTAACATGATTACTTATGTTGAACATCATTAACTAGCTTTTTTAACTGTTTGAAATAATTACAAGCACACTTGCTGTGTCTAAAATCCAGAGCCTGCATTAAATATGGGTTAAGGATCCATGAAATGAAAAGAAAACCTGCACTCTTTTTTTTTCTCTCCAGTCTTCCAAAAATTGCTCTTTGAAACCTATGGAGAAGTACTAAGAAAATGCTCTCTTTGAAAGATATAGATTCTTTTCTGCATGATGTTCTAATGCATACTTTAATATAAGTATTACATTCATTGGTCCAGCCTGTTTTTGTTTTGTTTTGTTTTTTGTTTTATTTTGCTTTGTTTTATTTCAATTTGTCTGGCTTTGGACAATGTTATTGGTATAAAGGGTTAGAATAAGCAGGAACGCATTTTGGAGTGGAGGGGTGGTGGTCATTCTGTTGCACTTTGCAAAAAGACATGGGTGTGCATGAAGAAATAAGCCACTTCCAGTATTTCCTGTCTTTTTCTTCTTTTAAACCTGGAGGGGGGAGAAAAAGACAAATGCCAAGTGCATTCCAATTGCATGCTCAGGACCACCAGAAAGTTGAGAAACTAAGACAGGATGTAAAATTGGCTCCATTTCTTAGAAGAAAGGCCAAATCTCAAGTCTCCTTGGCCTTAGCATGAAGCAGCATGTCCCAGGAGGCCCTGAGAGCCAGACATGGGTGTTGAATTTCTTTTCATTGCGTTCTAAACCTTTGTTAACTGGATTCCCAAGAGTTCCTCAATCCTTTCCTAAACGTGAAGTGAAACACTCAACAGGAAATTTCTGGACAAAGCCAGCCCAGAAGTTCCCTTTATCCAGCACTTCTCCCTGGTCACATTTCCTCTCAGGAGAAGCCATCACTGTCCTGCACCCGCTGCAGACCCTGTGACCGTTTGGGTAAGAGCCGGGGGATTGCCCAAGGGTCCCACTTTAAAATTCCCCTGTCCCCTCAGGGAGGAAGCTGCTGAGTCTGCGGTGGTCCTGGTTTGAAGGGGCTCCTGGAATACCACGCAGCAGGGTCTCTCCTGCGCTTCACCCTCAGAGTGTCTGTGAGGATGGCCATTTGGGTTTCTGATGCATTGGATCCTGGCAAAATTATGACATTTGATCAAGGACCATTGACGTGCCTGAGTCAGAGGACCATTCCATACACTGGGAACACAAATGCCAAGGATTTTTAAAACTGTAATTATTAAGGCATGGCACATTCTGTCCTTACTGAACAATCACCTCTCCCTGGTAACTGCTTAATTATTTGAAACCTTAAATATAATTTGCTTTGGGAATATACTTGGAGTTGTATTTATTTTTAAGTGGTGAGGGGGTAAAAAAGGAAGTGAAATACAGGATAAAATTGTAACCAGGTAGCCTGTGTCTGGAACAGGTGATAAGCATTGAACAGAGGTTTTGTGCCAGATGCTGTTTACTGATGTTATCTATTTGTCTCTTACAACTAATAATAATAGCTAATAGTTTCAGAGACCTTGCTGTGTTCTAGGCATGATTCTAAGCATCTCACATATATAACTCACTTGACACACACACACACACACACACAGACACAGTACTATTACACATCATTTTAAATTTAGAGAAACCAAACTATGGAGAGATTGAATAATATGTCCAGGGTCTCACAGCTAGCAGGTGGTTGAGCTGGGAGTTGAACCCAAGACAGTTGATACCAACGTCCTTGTTCTTATTTACTAGTCCATGCTGAAGTGAGAGCTAGGTCCTCCTCCAGGCCCAAATTCATCTCCACTGTACCAAAGCCAATGTTGGCAATTGGTATTGCTTCATTTAGTTACTATTATAATCACGATTCTAGGATTTATTCAGTCATTCCAACAGTAGGCCAGTTGTTCATTCACAAACATTTGCTGCCACCGGCCACTTACAGAGGCTATGCTAGGCACTGAGGGTGCTAGCGCCATTAGGAATGCCAGATAAAAATAATTGTCAAGGGCTGGGTGCGGTGGCTCACGCCTGTAATCCCAGCACTTTAGGAGGCCGAGGCGGGCGGATCACCTGAGGTCGGGAGTTCAAGACCAGCCTGACCAACATGGAGAAACCCCGTCTCTACTAAAAATACAAAAAAAAATTATCCGGGCATGGTGATGCATGCCTGTAATCCCAGCTGCTCGGGAGGCTGAGGCAGGAGAATCACTTGAACCTGGGAGGTGGAGGTTGTGGTCAGCCGAGATTGCGCCATTGCACTCCAGTCTGGGTGACTGAGCCAGACTCTGTCTCAAAAAAAAAAAAAATCATTGTTAAAGAAAATAGTCACTTATTCATTTCCGCCAAGAGATGCATATATCCCTTGAATCTGCATTAAAACATTCAGCTTCTCAAATCACTTTATTTTTCACTGTGAACACAACAGCATTGCAAAGTCCCACAAGTCCTGGTTGTTCCTGTCCTGGCCCTCCATGCTGCACGCCTCCCCAACCCTGACCACATAAGCACAGGCTGCAGCTTCCTCTTTCCACCCTGCCAGCCTCTTCCCATGTGGGCTCCTTACTTCTGCTCCCAAGGAAATGCGTATCACTCAGGCTATCCATGTTAACCGTCTCATTGCTGGATTCAGTTCTGAGTCTCATCTGCTACTGTCAAGTTCCCTAATTGTCTAAAAAGCTCATTTCTATGTTCTAAGTCTGCATAGTATTCAGAGAGGGCAGTCTGCAGTTTCTAATCTGCAAGGACAACTGCTTCTCATCCCCCAAGCTGGTGGGAGGCACAACCTTGGATGCACACTTCAGCTCTGCTTGTGATCCCCTTGAATGAAGGAGCTGAGCCTATAGGGGGAAAGCATTCGTTCACATGGCAGCAACTCAACACCAAGGACTCGCATTTATGCTCAGAAAAATGCCACGAGGTAGTGCAAAAGCTGTCTTGTGATTTAATAGGTACAGCAGAAGAAACAGTGGGCTGGAGAAAGAACGTCACATATGGCCCATGCTGACCTCCCTCTCCCCACACGGTGCTTACTGAAATGTCCCACAGTGAAATGTGAAGTGAGTTTACTGAATATTTATTTGCAACTGAAGTGTCCTTGGGTATAGTAAATGGAAATTTTCTCTAGCTTTAGAATTGCTAATAAAAGCATTTTAGGATTCAGGAGCTAAGGCAGTTTCAGGAAGCTGCCAGCAGGTGATAATCAGGTGCCATCCCTACAGCTGATGTGACATTTTTCTCTCACCAGATTAATTTATTGATAACTACATCTAAGAGCATAAGTTCCATGAGGTAGTGAGTCCTGTGTGTCATCTCCATTGCTCTGGCCCCAGTGCCAGGCACAGGCCCAGGCACATTGTGAGTGCTGGAAAAACAGGATTTGAATGAATGAGTGAATGAATAAATGACTATGGAAAATTTGAGGGTTTTCCTGTACATCAGTTTTTGTTTTGTTTTGTTTTGTTTTGTTTTGTTTTTGTTTTTGAGATGGAGTCTGGCTCTGTCTCCCAGATGGAGTGCAATGGCATGATCTCGGCTCACTGCAACCTCCACTTCCCAGGTTCAGGTGATCCTCATGCCTCAGCCTCTCGAGTAGCTGTTATTACAGGTGCCCGCCACCACGCTTAGCTAATTTTTATATTTTTAGTAGAGACAGAGTTTCACCATGTTGTCCAGGCTGGTCTTGAACTCCTGACCTCAGGTGATCCACCCGCCTTGGCCTCCCAAAGTGCTGGGATTACAGGTGTGAGCCACAGCACCTAGCCCTGTACATCAGTTTTTAACTGTGGTTGCTCATAATATGGAACTTAGTAAGAAATTCAGACTTACTGAGTCAGACTGTAAGGAGGTGAAGTCTGGAACTGATATTTTGCTGAAATTTCTGAAGAAATCGAGTTCACAGAGATAAGTAATTTTGCCCCAAAGCACACAGCTAGTAACCATCAGGGTCTAGTCTAAAGTCCCAGGTGTGTCACCTCCTAGACGTATGCTTCCTCCACTAGACGTTCAACCAACATGCTTGGACTCCATCTGTTCCCACGCCTCAACCCTCAGACTCTGACAGTTACTGTGTACCGAACGATCAGTGGGCTGACACCACCCCACTCTGCCCAGGGAGAACTACCGCTGTGGATGAACTTCCTTTTAAATAGTGGGGAGTTAAAATTGGTTTGTATTTTACAATCATAGATAATGTGTTATAAATCTTAATATTTTTCACCCATGAAAAAATACTGTTTTGCTTTAAAAATACAAAGCTCACCTCAAACTTTTCTAGAGTGGAAGGCTAGATTGCATTTTTAGAGGACCCTTGGCCTTGCTTCATGCAGTCCTCCAGGAAATAGATTTAACGTCTGTCCCTCCGTGCCTCCACTTAATGCTTCCTGTAGATATGGCCATATGTCTGTTCTAATAGCAGATATTGCAAGTGTTCGGCCACATTTAGAGTCAAAGAGAGACAAGACAAAATGGGACTTTGCACCCAAATCCCACTATTAGCATAACTAGAAAGTTGATCCTGGAGGCCTTTGGGGTTTCTGGGCCTTGCCCCTGGTGCAGCCGGGATGCCAGCTCTTCATATGTGTGAGCTGTGCTGACTGTGTCCCTCAGACACAGTCCTTATTTTGCTCGCATTAGTCAGTTTCTGCTGCTTATAATGCAAAGCGTGTTAAATATCCAACCCTCTGACCACACGCACACAGGTCCACTTATTCACCAAGTCCTGATCATTCTACCCATTGAGTAAGTGAACCTTCTTTCCATTTTTGCTGCCATTGCCTTCAGGTCCTCTTTGTGCTCCACCTGGGCCACGGCAGTAGATGTGGAGTTGGTCCCACACCCAGGTATCTTCTTTACAGTCCACCCTGTTCCCTGCAGCAGGCACAGGCACCATGAGCTTCCTAACCTGGGTCCCCAACTTCCTCAAGGGCTCCCCAGCCTTTGCATAGCCCGCAGGGCCCTCCCTGACATGCCCAGCCTCAGCTCTGCCACTTCCCTTCTCTAGCACCCACTGCCCCTGCCTGCACCAGGAACCTTGCTTTGAGTAACACCACAAGCAGTTCCCACAACATGAGATGACCTTGGCCTCCTCCCAGCTTTGTACTCTTTCTTCAGCTAGAATTTTTAGGTCTTCTGGTCCACCTGCATGTTCTTACTCAAGTCGTAAGATTATAATTAGATGCTACCTCCTCCGTGTGGCCTTCTCTTCCTTTGCCAGTCAGTGGTGGAATGTTCTCTCCTTTGTCATCCACTGTGAGGCCTTTTGAACCTTGTGCTCTGCGGGTCGACTAGTGAGATGGACACCCTAACTCTGTCACCACCAAGTAATCTAGAATGTAGAGGAAGTTGTTTGATCTCTCTAGACCTCAGTTTCCCCACGTGTAAAATGGAGTAAGAATATTCCTAACTTCTTCGGGTTCACTGTGAGGACTGAACCCTAAGCACATACTTAGCACAATATAAGCACATACTGTGCAATTAAAATAAATAGTTATAGTAATTACCATGTACTACTGTATTGTTTATACCTGAAATTCTGCACTAAACTGCAGGCAACTCCTTGATAAAAGAGGCTGGATCTGTCCACATACAACTACCCAGAGTGCACAGCCCTAGCACACACGTCCTGTCAGTAAATGTAGGTTAAATGACAGTGAAGCAAAACTTGGCTGGCTGATAGTAGGAGGCATTCAATGCACTCACCACCTTGATGAGCTCAAGTGGGATGGCCCTAAGAGGTAGGGTGTTATGTACCCACTCACTGTGGTCTCTGCCACCACTAGAGAACTTCGAGGAACACTATCTGGGAAAGATAAAGCCTAACATTTTGGCTGTCAGTGATACTGTAGAACTGCAGCCTGCAAGTGTGAATGCAGAGGTGGAGTGCATTGTGTTTTTGATGACTATAGCGAAGAATCCGGGAGAGTCAGTTCGGGGAAATGGTCACAGCGGTGGGCTCTGGGCTCCTTGGGTGCTGGGTGCCTGAGGCAAGGGGAACTGGAAAGGGCAGTGGTTGCATGACAGAGAAAGCCAGGCCGATTCACTTTCCTTTTCTGGAAATTTGAGGAGCTGCATGAACTTTGACCAGAGGCAGATGTGACCCACTGTCCTTGAAGATCCCTCCATGTGGTTGGTAGCATGGTTGTTAAGAGCCTGAGTCATAATGTCAAATGGCATTTCAGCTCAGCCACTTAATGGGCACTTCATGTGTGAATTCGGGACTTTTTCTTTAACATCTTTGAAACTTGGTGTCCTCATATGTAAAGTGGCATAATAATACCTATTCTGTGTTATTGCTATATAACAAAGATTTTGTAGAGTGCCTGCTATATACAAGAAATGCAATAGCTAATGACCATCACAATTAATATGCATTCTTTTTTTCTTTCTTTCTTTCTTTTTTTCTCACTGCAACCTCTACCTCCCAGGCTCAAGCAGTTCTCCTGCCCCAGCCTCCCAAGTAGCTGGGATTACAGGTGCCTGCCACCACGCCCAGCTAATTTTTTGTATTTTTAGTAAAGATGCGGTTTCACTATGTTGGCCAGGCTGGTCTCAAATTCCTGACCTCCTGATCCACCCATCTCAGCCTCCCAAAGGGCTGGGATTACAGATGTGAGCCAGTGTGCCCAGCCACAATTAATATGCATTCTAAGACACTTTCTGTATCTAACATATAGTCTAGATCCAGTGGGAATCTCTGAGAGGCTTGGGAGAAGAAAATAAAGATAATAACTTTCAGAGGGCAGCAGCAAAAATCACAGTCTACTACCCACTGAGCTGTTTGTTGAGTACTCATTGCTTTCCAGGCACGATGCTAGGCAGGCACTTCATGTGTTAGCTCATTTATTTCCTCAACATCCGGAGGTCATGTGTCAAAGTATTTGGGCAGGCCCCTTTTCCTTGCACAAATGCTCGTGATTGGAGATACCAGATCATACATCCAGTCATACCGGACAAGCTTTTTTATTAGAGCCTCTCTGTACATTGATCAGCAATAACGGGGTTAATGATGCTCTTATTCAAAGAGTCGCAATTATGTTTCAACATTAACACCCATTAAGATGAATGACAATGCATTATAAGTAGTGTTTCAATTTGAAATTGAAATTGTATCAATTAGCCTTTAAACTAGCCTAAATAAATTCCGTTTGGTAGCTCAAAAATTATTCAAATGCCATGGTTCTGAATAAGAGGTTTTAAAAAAGTTTTTAATTCTATTCTAAAGATTCATACTAATAATCATATCTGCTTCCATAATCTCTTGTTGTAAGAGAGAGGAATAACAGGGTATATCAGCTGCTAAATCATCACATCTGATTGTGAGTGTGTACCAATTCTGAGAATGATTATTTCTCAAAGAGGGAAACAAACAGAGGAACAAGGCCCTTCAGATTGCTGGGAAAGAAGATGATTTTTAAATCCCCGGGAGGATTAGGGTATAGCTGTTGAACGGGTGCATAATGACCAAACACTAACCAGCCTCCTTGGCTACCATCTTTAGTGGGTCCTCTACCCCCAGTTATCAGGTAATGGGGCCACAGCCTGAAAACCAGGTGGTATTTCCACCAGCTAATCGGCGGCATTCTCATTCTCAGTTCCTACTTGGCCCGTCCTGCCCCACCTCACTTTCCCTACTGTTTATGCACACATCTAACTCCTTTTCGAGTGTAAGCACCATCAAAGGCAACAAACTGATCTCACTCATCTCTCTAACACCCTCCGTCTCCCAGTATCTGGTGAGCTGTACTAACAACATATTCCTATTAAAATAAATACTTGATTCTTTTAGATAATGCACTAGCTCATTAAATTTTTCAAGTAGACAGACGTTCAGTGCAATAAACTGAATGTTTGCATCCCCCACCAAAATTCATGGGTTGAAACCCTAATCCCAATGTGATGATATGTGGTGATGGGGCCTCTGGGAGGTGATCAAGTCATGAGGGTGGAGCCCTCATGAATGGGATTAGTGCCCTTATTTAAAAAAAAAAAAAAACACGAGACAGAGATAGAGAGCTTGCTTTCTCTCTGCTCTGCTTTCTGCCATGTGAAGATGCAACCAGAAGTTGCCAGTCTGCAACCTTGAATAGGGTCCTCATCAGGGTTTTCTATTGCTTTAGAACCAGAGATCTCTGTCCCAACATAGTGATTCCAGTTATATGACTTGAATAAATAACTTCCCATCAAAAATGAGGGTTAATTTCCTTCAAATGTCTTCCATTCCCCTCTCTCTCCAAAGGTAAGCTGCAATTGGCTCTTGCTCTAATGCTGGACTGACTGGCTGTCGGCTGCATGCCTCAGTGTAAGATGCTAAGCCTCTGGAAATCTCAGGTTTATTCATAAAGCAGGGATAATGATTCTCATGTTGTCAGGGCTGCTGTGGATCTAAATGCAATATCTGACACAGGTGTGTAGCATGTAGCTGGCACTCAGGTAAGAGACCAATGCTTGATACATGAAATATGATGATATTTAAAATCATCCATGGAATCTGAAACATCTTTACAGCTCTATTTGTTTTGTGAGGGGAATATAGTGTTGCTTGGTTAAAGTGCAAAATGAAAACAAAGAAAAGTTATGAATGCCTCCTCATGAGGAAAACCAACCATTGCTACCTTCTCTTCCCACTCCCTACTCCTCCATTTTAAAGTACACTACTAACTAAATAGACCGTGTGTGGAGGAATTTGGGTAGACTTTATTTGCAAAGTATTCTTACTAATGTCTTGGAACATACATGCATAAGCATCCACACTTTATCATCACATAAAACCGCCTAAGTTCAGGAGAATGGCGTGAACCTGGGAGGCAGAGCTTGCAGTGAGCTGAGATTTCGCCACTGCACTCCAGCAAGACTCCAGCAGAGCAAGACTCTGGTTCAAAACAAACAAACAAACAAACAAACAACAACAACAAAACGGCCCAAGTTGTAGAAATTGGCAGATAAGAGCTCTGGACTTGTCCTCCCTTGCTTAAAAGTTGTGCAATATTTGGGGACCTCAGTTTTCTGCTTGGTAACATGGGGTTCATAGTGATGACTTACAGATTTCCATGAGGGTGGAATGAATTGGTGTACATGAAGGCATTTTCAAAACTGTAAAGTTCTATGCAAATGTGATAAAGTGTTACTGGTCTGACCCGGAAAAGACTCTTGGGGATTTCCCAAGCAATGCTCCTTGCCCTTGATCCATTTATAGCCAGGAGGAAGTTATCATCTTGGGAAAAAAATTGTTAATGAAGGAGTTCAGGAAATGCCACTCCCAAGTCTGCTGCTTTGGTATATTGATTATTGAGCTGAAGGCACTTGCAAAACAGCGTGAACACCCCTTATCAGTCCAAAGATAGAGTCCCCAAAGGACCTCAGTTTTCATCAATCCCCTCCCAGGGAGTTTCATTATCCAGGGAAGATGGACTCTCATCACAGGGGAGGAAGCTAAAGTGACATCACACCCAGACAGACCTTGCCACCAACCATCATCTATTCTCTTAAGGGCCAGTTCACCTTTCTCCAAAAAATCATTACTCTCACCTATGTTGCCTACAACCCTCTCCTTTCCCCCCATGAAGAAGATATATAAGCTTCTAAATCTCACTGGGTATATTAGTCTCTTTTCACACTGCTGACAAAGACATACCCAAGACTGGGTAATTTATAAAGAAAAAGAGGTTTAATGGACTCACAGTTCCACACAGTGGGGAGGCCTCACAATCATGGCAGAAGGTGGAAGGCATGTCTTACATGGTGGCCAACAAGAGAGAAGAATTAAAACTAAGTGAAAGGGGTTTCCCCTTATAAAACCAACAGACCTCGTGAGACTTATTCACTACCATGAGAACAGTGTGGGGGAAACCGCCCTCAATTATCCTGACTATCCCGGTGGGAGATTCAATTACATCCCACTGGGCCCCTCCCACAACACCTGGGAATTATGGGAGCTACAATTCAAGATGAGATTTGGGTGGGGACACAGCCAAATACCATATCACTGGATTTTGGAGTATTCACTTTTCTTTCCTGTGATGCCCCTGTGCACATAATAAATTTGTCTACTTTTTCTCCTGTTAATCTGCCTGTTGTCAGTTTATTTTAAAGACTCAGTTGCTGAACCCTCAGAGGGTGGTGGGCATGTCTCCCCTTCTCTACGCTAACAGTGTGTGAGCCCTCTTGATGGATAATGGATAGGCTCTGACTCCTCCTCATCTACCACCTGCTGCATCCTGGCTCCCACAGCTCCGACCACCTTTGGCTCCAGCCACTGCTGGCAGCCAGCTTCCCACATGCCTTACTAACAGCACCTGCCTCTGGGCATGGATGGTCACTCTTTTTCTGCCTCAGTCCTCTTTAAATGCAGACAGCACTTGACTGAGCCAACTTGGAAGTGCAAGGGAGTTAGAGCCTCAGGAGGTGCCCAATGAGCAGCAGCAGGGTACTGGAGCCAGTGGGCATGTCTGAGGTACATTCCACTGCTGCATGGAGGACACCAGCCCAACAGAGCCCAGTGACTTTTCTCCCTCCCTGTTTTGTTCTTTTCCATTCCCTTTTCCTAATCCCTGGCATCACTTCCCACTCACCAGCCTGGCCTCTGCTTGCTGCCAGGAATCCAGGCTGGCTCTCTGAAATAGTTGGCTGTCTCCAAAGATGATTTGGCACTTCCTATCCGTGGCACTCTTGGTTCCCATGAGCTTGACAGTGCCAGGGTGCACTGGAGATCTCAAATGATTCACTAACTCAGAATCAGGGGAGACCAGCATTTGGCCAAAGAGTCTCCATCCTTGTCCCCGCATTTAGAGGCAGTGGTGAAGTAGAAAGAGTGGAGCTCAGGAGTTGGAAATCATAGGCTCAAATACCAGCTCCACCATCAGTAACACAGAGGAGTCACTTGGCAAATGGTGCCTAAGATTATGGGGATTAACATTATTAACTAACTTGTCATCACTCAACAAATGGCAGCTATGATGATGATGATTAATGTTATTAATTTGTTACTTTATGCATCCTGAGTTTGCTTTCTCCACGTGCTGATGGAGCTACTTTCTCTTGATGCACTCCTTTTCCCTTATATTTTAAAACAGTAAAAAAAAAAAAATCAGATTCATTTTAGCATTCTTTCCGATTTTGTCTTTTCTCCTATGTTCCCCGGAGCCTTAATTGACCCTTTATTATTCTCTTGCTCCCGTCATTTTCCATTTCCAATACAGTTCCAGGCGGGTAGCTCTAAAACTGCTGTTTGAACTTGTCTCACCATAAATACAATTTGACAAACTATTTCCAAGCAGTCAGTAATGTGAGAAGGAGGCGATCCTGGCTTCTCGTCTCATTGATTCTCGCACGTCTTTTCAACGTGAGCGGCCGAGCTGAGTGAATGGCGATAGTATTTTGTTTAGATTTCAGACAATAAAAACTGTGATCATCAACCTTGGGACCCATTTTCAGACTTGACCCTTCCCTTTGCCGATAGACAAAAAGGTCACAGCCATTTCAAGAAGGATGGGGCGGGCACAGGACAAAGAACCCTGGAACCCATGCCGAATTTGTACAGCTTCCTGCAGGACCACAGAGCTAAGGAGACTCAAAGAGCAGAAATTTGACAATCACATGCAATGCGGGAGGGCACACCATCCAGGGAAAGAGATGCCCGCGTAGAGCAGGCACGTTACTTAACACTTGCTTAACATTTTCAGGATACACAGATAATTCCTTCACAAATATAGAAAACTTATGAATACTGCCTTTCCGTCAGTCTTTCTGTAGCTCGTGAGTGATAATGGTCCATTAGCTGTGTTTGAAGAAGCAAAGCTATTTTTATATACTGGAGTAGAAAACGGTTTTTTAAATATCTGTATGTGACCTGTTTTATCAGCTTGGAGTACAGATGAAAGCATGCTTTTTTTCCTTGTTAATTGATTGAGCCCCCAGCATCTCTTATTAGCAAGGCCTGCATTTACCTGCTTAGGCTCACCTGGTCCAAGGGGTCAGTCTCGTTTCCAGGCTGCAGCAGAGAAGAAGGGAATGGGATACCTGGTGGGTCCACCGTACCTTCCACTCACTTGCTGCTGGGTGGTTCTGTCAGCCTAAAGAACCCACTTGGCAGTAATTCTGGGCTGGTCCAGGCACCAACACGTGCCACGTTGGTGCTTGTACCTGGACCCTATGATCAGGATGTGCTCTTGGCTCACACACCATGTGCGCTCTCCACTCCCAAAGTGGCTCACCTTCAGCTCTCATCATGGGGCAGCCAGCTAAGCAGCTGACCTTTGTGTGCCAGGTGGCAGCTGGGTCCCTGACCTCCTGCTGAATCAGCTCCTTTGAAACAGCAAAGCTAAGTTAAAACCCCAGCTAGAGGGATGTGAGGGTCTCAGCCTTCCCACCCACATGGCTTGGGCTCCTTTCCTAAGTTGCTCTAGTGCTCCTCATCCCTAATGGAAGAGGCTGTGTTTAGAGGCAAATGAAAAGTCTCACTCTATCCTTCTGCATTGTAAGATGTTTTGCTTAAATGACACCTTATTTAACAAAGAAGATCCTTTCCAAGGTGACTATCTGCCTCTGCCATACAAAGCTGTGGTGAATATAAATAAAACAAACAACAAAAAAACAGATATTGTTGAAATGCTAGTACTGCATTATAATAGCCCCTTCTTGTCCGCTGAGGATACCTGAAGACCCCCAGTGGATGCCTGAAACCACAGATTGTACCAAACCCTATCTATACTATTCTTCCCAAACAAAAATACCTATCATAAAGTTCAATTTATAAATTAGGCACAGTAAGAGATTAGTAACAATAACAGATACTAAAATAGAACAATTATAACAACATGCCAGCATCACCACTCTTGAGCTTTGAGGCTGTCATTAGGTAAAATAAGGGTGACCTGACACAGGCACTGTGATGATGTGACAGTTGATCTGATCACCGAGACAACTTCTAAGTGACTCATGGTGGGTAGCTGAGACAGTGCGGATACACTGGACACAGGGATGATTCTTGTCCCGGGTGGGATGGAGTGGGATGGCAAGAGATTTCATTCCACTACTTAGAATGTCACACAATTTAAAACATATGAATTGTTTATTTCTGGAGTTGTCTATTTAATATTTTCAGACTGCAGTTGACCATAGGTAACTAAATTGAAGAAAGCAAAACTACATATAACAGTGAGAGACTACGATATATGTCAGAGAAAAATAAACTCTGCTAAGAAGCATATTGGCTTCCCCAGCCCCTTCCACGTCCAGTCACTTCTAGCTCCACAACTCATACTTGTCCTGTGATATTCGGGATGTTGTTCTAGTTAGATTCTCAGGAATTATAATCTGGGTTGAAGCCGTGGCTCCTTACCTGTTCTTCACTCACTGATTCTCTAACCGTCCTTCACACACTGCCAGGTCTGTCTTCCTAAAGTACAGTCCCAGCCCTTACTCTACCACTCAGAATGGTAACTTTCCCATTGGCAATTGGCAAATTAACCTAGCAATTCATTCAATTCTCTCTATATTTTGACCTGAAGCAAGAAATTTTGATATGAACATTACGTGATAGCCAATGGGCATAATATGTTTTAATGTAGTCTTGGGGGGTGGGGAGAACCCTAAATAGTATTATTTTCATTTACTGAATGAAAGTCACCCATAAAATCAGGTTGAAAGTTGGGGTACTAGACAGGACTGGGATATGGCTCAGTGTTGGAGTGGAGGTCAGACAATAAGGTAAGATGCTGAGATGGGAAAGAGGTTAGGGGGAGAGCCATAAAATGGGAATGAATGACCAAATATTCCCTTTGTCAAAGCTGCCATATCAATATGGCGATTGGAATGACTATACCTCTCAGAGGGTAACCCCCAATCTCAGAAACTAGGATACCACTGGAGTATCCTGAGCCTCAGTCCTGGAGCCAAATTGCTTTGTTTGCCTTTAGAGAGTTAGTATTTTTTCATGCTACTGCATCCTCCAGGAAAGACCTCCCTATTTTCCCTATAGCCATCAAAATCCTTTCCATCCTTCCAATGCCTACTCAGATTCTAGATCCCAGGAAAAGTTTGCACATTGATTTTTTTTAACCGGATTTCATATAATCCTGCCCTAAATATCAGTGTTTTAAAAGGTATTTAACTCAAAAAAACAAATTTTGGGGCACTTTACAGCAAAGACTGCATCTTATTTGTCTCTTTTATTTAGCCTTCTCAGGGTATCAGAAAAGGAACTTGCCTGCAGTAGCTATTAAAAAGTCGTGGCAGGGTTGGTGATCATTTCTTGTGCATGAATATTTCCAAAGCTTTGGCAGTAGGGATTGGAGCAGCGAGGCATTGCACACCAAATCAGTCACCCAACAGCACAGATCAAAAAGGCAGACAAATGTTGGCGAGCGTGTACAGAAGGTGGAAGCCTCATACACTGCTAGTGGTGCAGCCACTCTGGGAAAAAGTCTGCCATCAGTCCCTTAAATGATTGAGCATAAAGTTACCATGTGACCCCGCAATTTCACTTTGAGGTATAGAGGCAAGAGAAATGAAAACTTATGTTCTGCAAAACCTGGTACATGAATATTTACAGCAGTAGTATTCATAATGGCAAAAAGATGGAAACAACCCAAATGTCCATCAGCTGGTGAACGGATAAACAAAATGTAGTGGGTCCATGCAATGGAATATTATTTGACAATGAAAGGAATGGAGTACTGACACATGCTACCACATGAGTGAACCTCAGAAACATCACGCCAAGTGAGAGAAGCCAGTCACAAGCCACAGAGTATATGATTCTACTTATATAAAATGTGCAGAACATGTAGCTCCATAGAGACACAAGGTAATTTATTGATTACCTGGGGAGGAGACCAGCTTGCGGTAAGATATAGGGAATGATTACTAGTCTCTACAAATAATGAATGAAAGTATTCTAAACTTACATTATAGTGATTATTACAGAGCTCTGTGAATATATTTTAAAACACTGAATTGTACAATTTAAGTGAGTAAAACTTCATGGCATAAAATTATATTTCAATAACACTACAACACATTGAAGTATGTGGGGAGGGGAAGAATAATGCCTGTGGGTGGCCTGAGCCACTGCATGAATCTGTTTACTGAGACTGCAAGATCAGTTCACTGGAGTTGAGAGCCACAAGCTCCGCTTTGCCCCTGAAGAGGTGGAGAAGCCTATGAGAAGCCTGCGTAGGATGCCAGGTGTGCAGGTGGAGGTGTGGGTCTGGATTTTCAGGGAGGGGCCAGGATGAGAGAGACAGAATGGGGGTCATCAGGACAAGCCTGGCCTGGAGGAGGTTCCGGGAAGAGTGGTAAAGGAGAGAGAGGGCCAGAGCAGAGCCCAGCGGGGGCTGCGGCATTTCAGCACCATAAGTAAGAAACTAGGAAGGAAACAGGCAGAAGGAAATCCACCAGGTAAGAGTCCACAGAAGCCTGGAGAAAAAGCAGTTTCCAAAAGAAAATGGTGCCAAATGCCGATAAGTGGTTGGAATCAGACAAGAAGAATGGAACATGACCTTGGCAGCCATCATGGCCTGGGATCCTCACGGCCCTGACGAGGGCCATCTCCTGAGGGAAGAGGCTCACTGGCAGGGCTGAGACAGAGTACATGTCTGGCACTGCTGGGCAGCCAGGAGCCAGGCCGGCATGGAGATTTGCTGTGACCTCAGGAGAAAAATGGGCCAAGAGTGGGTGGAGAGGTGGGAGCAAGGGACGGATTTATTTTGTCTTTTAAGATGTGAGATCCTGAAACATGTTTGTATGCTTACATTCATGACCCAACAGGGTACACTGGTCAGGGTTCTCCAGAGAACAGAACCAATAGGCTGTCTGTATACAGAGTGATTTACTTTAAGGAATTGGCTCATGAGAAAGTGGGAGCCAGCTGTTTTGAAATCTTCAGGGCAGGCCAGCAGGCTGGAGACTCAGGGAAGAGCTGATGTTAATAGCTCAAGTCCAAAGGCAGTCTGGAGGCAGGGATCCCTCTTTCCCAGGGGCTGTCTCTTCTGTTAAGACCTTCAACGAGAGAATGAGGTCCACCTACATTACAGAGGACAATCTGATTTCCTCAAAATCTACAGAGGTAAATGTTAATCTCATCCAAAAAATAACTTCAAGGCAATATCTAGACTGTTATTTGAGTAGAACCTGGCCGCTGTAGTGTAGCCAAGTTGACACACAAAATTAACCATCACTTTGAAGAAGGATGTGGACACACGATTCTCTCTGAAGAAGACCTGAGCAATTCGTTTAGGTGGAGATGTCAGTTTGCTGAGACCATATTGTTAATACTCAAATATGGGGAAAATTCCCACCCCTGACTGTCCCTGGTTTTCAGGGACAGTCTAAACTGGCTGCCCATTTGCTCAGGGAGTCCTGGCTTTTCCAGTCCGCACTGATTCTCACAGTATGTGATCCTAAGCTAGGTTCTTCACTAGCATTACAGAAGAATAAACCTTGGGCTTAGGATGTCATGACACTTGGTCTGTAATAGATTTTCTCTGGAAATTCACCACGATGAGGAGAATGTAAACATGACTGGTCTCCAGCAGCCCAGCCTCTGAGCAAGCACTAAGTGGGCCCCATCCTGCCAGCAGCTGCTCCCAGAAGAGCTTCGCTTCTCTCAGATCCACCCTGACAGGAGCCATCACTCTCCTCACCCCTCCAGGTTTCTAGAAGTCTTCAGTCTGCTTTCAATGAGATCACCATCAAAACTCATCCCTTTAGCCCTGAAAGCCCAGCTATGCTCACACCTGTCACTTCTAACAGACTCTCCTCAGGCTGGCTTACATAAGAGGATGGCAATATAGAGAGGAAAACTAAAAGCACGCCTCAGCTACCCCTGCTCCCGACCAGGCTTGACATTACCACCTCCAGGGTCACCTCGTCCTAGCCCCCGATGCAGCTGCCATATTGCCAGAGCCACCTCTTTCTCCTCAGGACCCATGGCCCAGTCCCACCTTACCCACCATTCAGAGCCACAGGAGAGGGGAACAGATGGCCTCTTAAGGCTATCACCGTTACCTGGACAGGAAGGCTTGCTGCTGCAAGGAGGAGAGAGTTCTCTCACCATTGCCAACTGCAGATTTTCTTAGTCTGAAGCAATGACATGACTAAAACTCATCACATTGTTTTGTCTCCAAGAACAGAGGAGTAAGAATCTACTCCCAAGACTGATTTAGACCTCCAGAAACTGATTCCCACTAAAAAATAGCTCATTTGTTCCTTGCCCAGTGAGATGAAGAGGCCCGGGGGTTGCCCTCCCAGCCTGGGAACTGGGAGATAGGAAGATCACATCCTGCGGAGGAGGATCAGGAGGCTCACGGGGGCTGGGCCTCAGGGATGAGTCATGCCGCCAGGCCAGGGAACAGGTGGGTGACAGGCTGAGGGCCGCACTCTGACTCAGCGGCCTGCCCGCTGCAGGCACCTGACGCCCGGTGCTCTGTGGGGTAGGAGTATGAAAATGACCTTCAAAGTGATCATCATGACTCATGCAAGGGGTTGCCACCAGCCTTGGTACTTAGTTTTCCAGAGAAAGGTGATGTTTTGATTCTAATTTATTTTTTTTTAACTCAAACTACTGCTGGATATGTAAATTGAGTTTGCAAACCTTACATGTAATTTCCAAACTGCTGAGAGCGTATTTGAATCATAGATTAAGAAAACAAGATGCCAAGTTTTTTCTTGTATCTTTATGAAAAAGAATAGCACATGAGTAAAAGATTTTTCACCTTTTAATTTTTCAAGGGAATAGAATCAGATTAATCTTTCATGAGACACTCAGCTCTTACTTATTAACATTGATTTTAAGGAAGGGAAAATGAACTAGAATTTTATCTTTTCATATTCCACCTTTAAGGTGTACTCTTGAGCAAATGTGAATAAAATTTTGCCACCAGTAAAACTAAGCCTGTAGGATGTAGTTTTCCAGGATAAAAAGATTATTCCATTTTCTAGATTATGTTAATTACCAGGCATCCTTTCAAAATGAATGTTAGGTGAAAAGACAATGCAAGGACTTGCTTCTGATTCTTGTTATTCAACTATCTGCTCTATGAGGGCAAGAAGACAGGCTAACTTATTCATTAAATGGGGTAAACACCCTCAAATATTTATTTAATAAATGAATTAATAATGGTTGATTTTCAACTGCCATACATAATGATATACACTTCATTTTTTGTTCTTTGTTTTATAAAGAAATTTAAAATTTCACTTCTTGCAGATGGCAAGGATCTTTCATCTGGCACCCTATACAAGTGCAGCATTACATTTGGGTCAGTCCTAACAGGAACCTGCACTTTAACCAGGTGGGCCTGCTCCTCACGTCTGGACTGCCCACCTCTTCTCTGTTCCCTGATGTTTGCCTACCCTGTTTCCCCAGTCCTGAACCTCCGCCATCCAAATATTAGTTACTTTTCCTTTTTTTTTTTTTGAGACAGAGTCTTGCTCTGTTGCCCAAGCTGGAGTGCAGTGGTGTGATCTCAGCTCACTGCAGCCTCCACCTCCCAGGTTCCAGCGATTCTCCTGCCTCAGCCTCCCAGGTAGCTGGGATTACAGGCACGCACCACCACGCCTGGCTAATTTTTGTATCTTTAATAGAGACAGGGTTTCACCACATCGGTCAGGCTGGTCTCCAACTCCTGACCTCAGGTGATCCACTAGCCTCGGCCTCCCAAAGTGCTGGGATTACAGGTGTGAGCAACCGCGTCCGACCACAAATATTAGTTTCTAAATCTTACTCATTTTCTAATGCAAGTTCACATTTTCCTTTCTCCTTTGATTTGAATAGAACTTGCCATTGTTTTGCATCCACCCCTGTCACTGTTTGGCCCATCTTTCACATCATCCTCTCGCAAACTCCCAGGTGTGTCCTCAGCTTGCCACACATTTCACATCCATGACTTCTTGGGGGTGAAATAAGACATGCATATAGTTGGCAGGGAAACAGTGATGCACAAGAGAAAGGTCCAGGGCACATGCTGTGAGAACTGAAAAGAGGGAAGGAGAATGGCTTCTCTGGGGGTCCTTTGGATAGGGCAGGAATCATGAATGATCAGTAGGACCTGGCCAAGTGAAGACAATGGCATGAGCAGGAGCACTGCAGTCAGAGGGAACAGCATGAGGACAGGTAGGGAGTGCAGGAAGCGCAGGCCTGTCCTGGAGCAGCAAGGAGCAGGTGGGCTGCAGATGGCATTGAGTAAGGAAAGGAGGGACTCTCAGAAGCCACTGGGCATGGATGGGGGCCTGAGTGTGGACTTCATGACACATGTATGCTTTCTGTTTAATGGAGAAATTTAATATTGAACATGTTACAGTAAGAACTCAAATCTCCTTAAATAAAGGAATTATTCTGATACTTCTGAACAGAGAGGGGTAAAGAGAAAAGCGTAATTTAGGGAATGACATGTGTTTGGATTTGTGTGCTGACTTTCCTGTTTATTAGCTGGGTAGTGTTGGATAAATTAGCCCATTTTCTCTGAGCCTTAAGGTCTTGCACAGTGAGACGAGAATCTTACCAACCATGTCATAGGGCAATGTGTGAGTGGACTGAGAAGAAGGCACCTGCATGAACCCACAGAATGCCTAGCAAAACGTCTCCCCTCTCCTGGAATGGCCCAAGTGGCCCAGGTTATGTTGCCCGATACTGAATTGCACTGGGAAAAGACACATGGTTTAGCTCAGATAAGCCAGTGGGGAGGCCAGATGTCATCTCTGAGATTTTATAACTGAGTGGAACTTTTTATGTAGGAAAACAAGGTAAAAATTTCCCAAGGGGTTTCTACGAGATTTCCAGCACTTCCTAAATTAGCCCTGACCAGTAAAACCACGAGAGAAGACTTCCTGGCAGGGCTTGGCACTTCCATTTCCAGAACCAACCGAAAGCAGGAAGCATTGAGACAAGTAATAATTCAACTCTTCAGTTGGCTTCCAAAATTATCCACATTTGAGTCCCTTGGCATTTGTACCAAAGGTCAGGAGTTATTCTGATTTTATCTGTTCCAGGTCTTCAACTTGTTTTTGAGTGAACCAAATGCTTCTCACTGATGGAGGTATTTTATGTCTTCCTCCTCACCCCAGTGTATGCTGAACAAGCCTCCCAGTGATGAGCAATTCCATACAATTAGCAGAAATCCCTTAGCTTGAGGTTGTCCACCATTAACCTGGAAATAAAAACTTTAAAATTCTGCTCCTTGGATTTAGATCACCTTGGTACAATTCTCAGCTCTGCCATTTATTAGCTGTGTGACCGTGGGGAAACTTTTAACATTTGCTATGTCTTGGTTTCCTATTCTATAAAATGAAGAAGCTCCATACCCATTAGGATGGCTACTCATTCAAAAAAGTTAAAAGAAAAAACACACAAAAAAAAAGCATTGGCAAGGATGTGGAGAAATCATCATCCTGGTTGGGAATATAAAATTGTACAGCTGCTATGGAAAACTGTATAGCTGTTCCTCAAAAAAATTAAACATAGAATTACCATATGACCCAGCAAGTCTGCTTCTCGGTATCTGCCCAGAAGAATGGATCTGAAAGAGATATTTGTATGTCCATGTTTATAGCAGCATTATTCACAATAACATCCACCAAAAGGTGGATGTTTCCATCTATAAATGAATGGATAAACAAACTGTGGTAAATGCACAATACGGAATATTACTCAACCTTAAACAAGAAGGAATTTCTGACACATGCTATGACATGAATGTACCCTAAGGACATTATACCAACTGAAATAAGCCAGTCATTAATGAATAAGTGCTGTTTGATTGCTCTTATATAAGGTCTCTAGAGTAGTCTAATTTATAGAGAAAGTAGAATGGTGGTTACCAGGAGATAGGGGGAGATGGAAATGAGGACTAAATGTTTAATGAATTCAAAGTTTCTGTTTAGGAAGATGAAAAAGTTCTGGAAATCATAGAGAAAGTAGAATGGTGGTTACCGGGAGATAGCGGGAGGTGGGAATGAGGATTAAATGTTTAATAAATACAGAGTTTCCATTTAGGAAGATAAAAATGTTCTGGAAATGGCTGGTGGTGATGGTTGCATGACAGTGTCAATGTACTCAATGCCACAGAACTATATGCTTAAAAATTGTCTGAAATGGTACGTTTTATGCTATGTGTAGTTTACTACAATTAAACTTTTTTTAATGAAGAAGCACTTTATTTTCAAAAACAGTGTTGGAACATTACAATTTTTCTATACCAGAAATTCCATCATAATGCAATCGTGGATTCTAGGCAAAGCACATAACCATACTAGGCCATCACAGGACATGTCACCTCATTGGTGTGGCGCATTCTTAGAAGGCCTGGCCTTGGCTTTAGGGTAGCAAAGCTTCTCTGGCAGGTATTCAGCTGCAGCGATACAGTGCCTGCGTGGGCATTCCTGCCCCTGGACACGTGGACACATGGAGTTTTCTGGCTTCTTTGTGAATGATACTCAGGCCATGAGCCCCAGTCCCTCCACTAAGAATAAATCCATAACCTTATTTTGAGCACATAATCTGATAGATCATGATGCCAGTGATAAGTTTGCCTCACCATTTCCCTCTTCTATTTTCTTTTACTATGGTATTCTTCCCCCCTTTCTTTTTTCACTTTTCTAAGCTTTATTTGAATGTTTCTGTCTGCTGCAATGGTTTGTCCAAAGATCAACAAGAATAGACAGGGTGTGAGTCCCCAGTCACAACAGTTTTTGACTCCTGTGTTGACTCAATGAAGTCAATAGAAGTTCAAGCCCATCCTTTTTCTCTGACATCCTGGAAGCTCCTGTGTCTTCTCTTGATCCCTTTTGATGGCCTTTGCCCTGTGACCAGAAGAATGCAGAGCATGCTGCAGTTTGGGACCTCAGCTCTGCTGTCAGCACTATGACAAGCTCTTGTTATCTGGTCTCTGTGGTTTTTGATGGGCCAGTGAAATGGGGAGAGGGTGGCCTTTAGGGCCACATAGATGTGAGTGCAAATTCCAGTCCTGCCACTTAACGGTTTTGCATCTACTCTGTGAGGCTCAGTTTTCTTATCTGTAAAATGGAAAATTAATAAGAACCTTGCAGGGTTGTTGTGAGCATTGAACAAGATGATGCAATTAGAGTATGTCATGTAAAAGAGGCAATGAACTGTTCCAAAGCCTAGTGGCTCAGAAGAGCAAGGAGTTGCTGTCTCTCAGGACTGTGCGGATTGTTCCCTGAAGAGTGTGGCCTCAGCTCATCTGTGCAGCTTCTTTGAGCTGTGGGGTCAGCAGAGCTGGTGGTCACATGTCTGGCAGTTGGTGGCTGCCTCAGTTCTTCTCCATGTGACTCTCTTCCTCCAGAAAACCAGATAGGTATTCCTTCCTAGTGGTCTCAGGGCAGTTTCAAGAGGTCAAAAGCAAAATCTGCAAGAGCCCTCAAGGCGTAGCTTCTGGAATTTGCACAACTCTGTCTCCATCCATTTCATTATCCATTGATGTCAGTGCAAGTCACAGGCTGCTCCTGAGTCCAGACTCCAGGGATCAGGAAATGGACCCCACTTCTTGATGGGAGAGCCCCAAAGCCACATTGCATTCTTCTGCTCTTGTATGCTCACCTCTGACACTATCTACTGTCATACACCATCTTCAAGAGTAAAAATAGAAGAGATAGAGATTACTGACTGACACTTAGCATTCCTAAATTTTGAATCTGACCCTGGGTCAGCAACCTACCCCTGCAAGCTTCCCATGGGAAGCTAAGCCTCAAGAGAAAATCCCTGGGTGTCACTGTTGGCCTCAAAGCCACGTAGAATCACTTCAGTGACACCACTTGCCTGAACTGAAGGGAGCAGGAGTAAAACTACTTTACTTCTTTGTTTTCCTCAGCCTAGCCCTGTTATTATCCTTACTCCTTTGATGGTAGCAGGAAAAATGTTCAGCAAGGAGAAGCAAATACAAAACACAGGAACCAGAGCAAAAGCACAGAACAGTGTTCACCCTAATGCCTGTTTATTTTGTATCTCTCTGTCTAATGCTCACCAGAACTACATGGCCCAATCAATATCCCTGGACTAGACCAATACAAAAGCACTCCTCTTCCTTGAGGATAATGAGGGGAAGAAAAACTAAGGGAGGTAGGAGCTTCCCCCTGCTAGAAGTCACCTCCCAAGGCTGAGGCCAAGCATTTTTCCATTTACTCATTCAATAACAATTTATTAAGCAACTATTAATCTTTTACCCCAGGCACTGCTCTAGTACAGAGATCCTGTGTGTCAGTGAGGAGCCTGCACTTTTCTCGTACGATTCTCTCTCTGAGCTCAGCATGGCTGGCCATGCATTGTAGGCTGCTGTCCAAGAGGCTTGCCCAGGCCAGAGACCACCCCAGTGCTAACTGTGCCTTCTCCCCCAGGCTCCATCCCGCACACTGCCTCTTTCAGATCTCTTTCTCTCTCCCTTTGTAGCTCTGTTCCTTCTGGAAGGTGGGGAGGCTCTCTTCTCCCCTCTGTCTACCCAGTAAATTTCCATTTACCCATCAGTTCTCCATAAAAGATTACCTTCCGCAGTGAAGCCTGGCTGGCTCCTGGGCCGAGTAAAGCTCCTCTGTTCTATGGTCTTGTATGATAGGTTCCTCGCCTTCATAATATTCTCAGTTGTAACCATACAGTCATTTATGTGATACTTTGGTTAATCTCCATCTCCCTCCACGAGGCTCTATGCTTTCTGCAAACAAGCACCATGGTCATTTTCTCTCAGCGCCCTATTTCCAGTACCCAGCATAGTCCCTGCAGCAAGCTGTTTATGATCATCGTTTGCATAAGTGAATGGATGGATGAATGAGCAAATCTCCCTGTGTGGTCTGCAGAGGTATCCCCTGAGCCTGTTGCTGGGAATGTAGGGCCCTAAGACAAAACCTTACCTCAAATGAAGACGTCTTCCTAAAAGGCTCAGATCCATCTTTCTCTCATTTCTTTCAGGTCCTCAACCAAGAGCCCCAGGGACCTCATTTCAAGGGTCCCTCCTTCTGTTTCTCACAGGAAGACTAGGAAATACTCGTGCTAACAGATTCCATTGGCTGCCTTAACTGTCCCAAAATCCCAGAATCAGCCCCAATCCTTGCCTTGTTATAATTCAGGTACAGAGAAAACATAAAGACGTTCACAGTTGTAGAGTGATAAAAGCAAATGCTCTTCCATTGGGCCCACAAGTTTTGAGCACCCACTGTGTGCCAGCACCAGCACTCACAATGAAGCAATTCTATGCTGGGATTTTTTGACATCTTAAAATGCCACTTGGTAGTGGTTTGCTAAGAGGGACAAGAGGGAGGATCATGAGTTGAAAGCTGCTGTGGAAGACAGTATAGTTTTCTGGTAAAGACGCATCCAAACTCAGAAGAAGCACAGACAATCTACGACTTCCTGTTGGCTGCTCTTCCAGACAGTCTGACTAGCCTGCCGACATAGCCCTGGTTTTTGAGGGGAACTTAAGCCCTGCATTTAAGGGCCTAGATCATCGCTGCAAGTATCAAAGAACAAAGAGCATAGTCATTAATTTCTAGAATGATGGCTGTAATGAGGAGATGCCGACCTGAAGTCCCAGGAAGGAGGAATTAGCAGCCCACATTTTGTCTTTCCATTGACTGTTGTAGGGTTACAAGGAGAGATAAAGCAATGAGAGTGGCACTGGTTGGCTGTGCTTGCCTTTTAAATATATATATATATTTAACAAGCCTTCATTTTGTCCTAAGAGAAATCAAATGCTGCATTTAGGGGCCTGCAGCAGAGCACAGAATGGGTCGCTGGCCCACTCCTAGCCTGAGCTGCTCCTGACCTTGGAGTTGAAGCTTACCTCGCTGCGGGAGGTCTGATAAGGCGATCTCTGCTCTCCTCGGAGATGCATAAGTGCAGACAGCCAGAGAGTGCCGTGGGTTTCCACCAAGGCCAGGCTATTCGTCATGGGCTCTCCTTGTGGACTGTGCAGGTCTGGGTGGGGGTGGGATTTTAGGAGGGAAATAATGGTGAGGAAATCCTCTCCCTCTCACACTAAAAGTATTTTTTCTTCCCCTGTGAGTTGGGAAAAAAATGGGAATTTTACCAAAATAAATAAATAATAATGATTGCAGAATTACTGTGCTGGAGCTTTTAAGAGCCCAATCTGCAAATGGGGTAAACGGCCACCAGATGGCAGTACTGACCAGGTCCTTGAATCAACCAATGCGGAGCCCACAGACAGAATCCCGCATCACGCTCTCAGGGAGGAAACTGAGGCCAGATCCCATGAAATCATTCGCCAGATGTTAAAAAAAAAAAAATCAGCTGATTCTATTCAGCGTGGCTCTGCTTTCTACAGGGGTCAAGTCTATCACATTGCTATCTTAAAGGACTTCACAGTTGTAGTGATGGAAGCAAATTCTCTTCTTCCATCAGCCCACATGTTTTGAGCACCCACTGTGTGCTGGCACCCAGCCAGGCACAAGGATTTGCAGGGAATGAAATCAGCTCCTGCCCTCCTGGAGCTCGCGGAGCACTTGTTTGTCTGTCTGTCTGTCTTTCTTTCTTTCTTTCTTTCTTTCTTTCTTTCTCTCTCTCCCTTCCTTCCTTCTTTCTCATTCTTCCTTTCTTTCTTTCTTTTCTTTCTTTCTTTCTTTCTTTCTTTCTTTCTTTCTTTCTTTCTTTCTTTCTTTCTTTTTCTTTCTTTCTGTCTTTCACTTCAACTTTTATTTTAGATTCAGGGGGTACCCGTGCAGGTTTGTTGCGTGCATATATTGCTTGATGCTGAGGTTTGGGGTACAATTGATCCCATCAGCTGGGTAGTGAGCATTGTGCCCAATAGGTAGTTTTTCAGTCTTTCCCCCTCCCTCCCTCCCTCCCTCTCTAGTAGTCCCCCATGTCTGTTACTGCCATCTTTATGTTCATGTGTGCCCAATGTTTAGCTCCCTCTTACAAGTGAAAACATGCGGTATTTGGTTTTCTGCTCCTGTGTTAATTCACTTAGGATAATGGCCTCCTGCTGTATCCATGTTGCTGCAAAGGACATGATATCATTTTTACAGCTGTGTAGTATTCCACGGTGTATAGGTATCATGTTTTCCTTACCTAGTCCACTGTTGATGGGCTCCAGGTTTGTTTTGCTATTGTGAATAAGCACTTGTTTATTACGATGTACCTAGGCAGTGCCAGCACCAAAGTCTTACCCAGTTGACGGGAGTTCAAAAGGAGACAGCATCGGCTGTGGATGGGGGAGGGCAAGCCAGGAAGAGGGGCAGGTAAGTTCAAAGAGAAGGTGACATTTTAGTATGTTTTGAAGCCCTGTGTGACTCACACTTGCCTGCCAGGGAGGAAGATGAGGTTATTCCAGGCAGAGGAGCAGCCTGGCCAACAAGACCCTGCATAGCTGGCCACGGAAGTCGGCTGAGGTTGCAGTGTGTAGAGTGTGTGCAAAGTGGGGGGTGGGGGTGAAGCTAAAAAGGAACACGGGGCAGCTTGTGAAGGGTGCTGGACCCGTGATGAGTCGCTTCCCTAAACACGGAGCGACTCATCACATTGCACAGGCGTTGACTGGGCTCGGGGAGAATGGGGGATCGAGAGAAGGAAGCACCAGGCATCCCTCCTGGGACTGATGAGCTGGGCCAGATAAATCTGGGATGGAATTGACCTTAGGCTACCCACCCCCAGCCCCCACCAGGCCGATGGGGTCCTTGGGGAGTCCCACAGCACCCTCTATCGCCGCACCTCTCCCCTCACAGCAGTATCACCGGTGAGCTCCTCTGTCCCCTGGATTAGGAGAGGAACCCCCCGGAACGCAACGCTGCTGGAAATGGGCTCCTGCTTTTGTTTCTCTGTCCCATCAGGATCTGCCTAAGCTCCCTCGTGGAGTGGGTACCCTATAAGCCACTGTGTGGTGTGGACGCACGAGGGGCATGAAGCAGGGGCAGTGAGTGAGTGTCCCTGAGTTTTCTAAGACAAAGCAGCAGCGGCAGATGATGGGACCTCCATGGGGAAGGCCGCGATGCCGAGGAAGGAGGGAGAGGTGAGCTCTCTGGCACCAGGACCCAAGGCCTTCTAGTCCACGTTAGGCCGCAGCCCCCACTGCACGTTAGCCTGCCCCTGGGCAGAAACACCCTGGGGTGCACAGTGTATGGGGAGCTCATGCTCCTGGGAGGGTGGCAGGGGAAGAGGAAGGCGCTGGAGCAGGCAGAGATGGAAGCAAGGAGATGTAACGAGCAAAGTTTTCCATCAAGGAGCTTAAAAAGGAGGGGTTAGGAAAAGCGGGTATGAGGTTGTTCACCTCAAACTCATTCATTCTGGGCTGACCCTGTGGCCACTCCACGGCTGGCATCGCTGCAGCACTGGGGCTGAAACTGGGGAGGCTCCAACCAACTCCCCTCAGGGAACGTTGCTTCCAATGAGAGAAAGTTGACCAGAAATAGCAGCAAAGACAAAATCTGAATGTGGATATTTTCTTTCCCACTGGTGCTGGCAAGAGACTTACTCCAGCTGAGTGGCATGGGCCAGCGGGTGTGGCCAGGGAAGGCCTCTTTGAGGAAGTGACATTTGAGCAAGACGTGGGGGAAAGGAGTGGCCCTTCCAGGCCGAGGGAAGGGCAGGGAGGAGATGGAGAGGCGGCCTTGGGTGGGGTGTGGGAAACTCAGTTGGGAAGGACGTCGGTTCTGACTCCCAGAATTAGGGTAGGCCGGGAGGTTTGTGAGTGGGACCTGTCGCGCTGGGGGATGCTGTGAAGCTGACGCGCTCTGTGGAAGAGAGATGCAGGGCACGAAGGGGGAGCAGGGACCGGGGTGGAGGGCCACAGTCAGTCCAGGACAAGAGGCTGGCCACCAGAAGGTGGGTGAGGGAGGCCATGAGGGTTTAAAGTATTGTCCCTCAGAACTAACTGCTGGGTTAGGCATGCTGGGGTCAGGGAGGGAGGATAAAAAATGGGTTCTGGGGTGAAACACCACGGGAAGGCCCAATGTGTGAAATCCCAGCACTGCACAGGAGGCTGGAGGGACAACATCATCAAGACTTTTCTGGCAAAAGATGGACTTCAGCTGAGGGCACACACACACTTTGGTACAGAATAGTACCTCTCAACTAACCGAGACCCTGTCTCCAAAAAAAAAAAAAAAAAAAAGGTGCCTCCTCCTTCTTGGTTCATGCAGTCAGCCCCCACAGCCCAGGCTGTCCTAATTTGCCCTCCCTCCCACCACAGGCTGTCCTTTCCGTGGCACTGGGGCTCTTGGTCTGAGTCATCTGATACAAGAAGCCCTTTGCTTTTCCATGTTGTCGTCTGCCATTCTTCACCTTGTCCCTATTGTGCCCTTCCTTCCTTCCTTCCTTTCTTTTTCTTTCTTTCTTTTTCTTTCTTTCTTTCTTTTTCTTTCTTTCCTTCTTTCTTTCTCTTCCTTTCTTTTCTTTCATTCTCTTTCTTTCTTTCTCTCCTTCCTTCCTTCCTTTCTTTTCTTTCTTTCTTTCTTCCTGTCTTTCTTTCTTTCTTTCTCTCTCTCTCTCTCTCTCTCTCTCTCTTTTTCTTTCTTTCTTTCGTAGAGGCAGGGTTTCACCATGTTGGTCAGGCTGGTCTCAAACTCATGACCTCAGGTGATCCACCCGCTTCTGCCTCCCAAAGTGCTGGGATTACAGGTATGAGTCGCCGTACCCAGCAAGCTTTTCTTTCTTTGTGCACTTAGCACTAATTAAAGTCAGGCCATCGCCATCTTTATTAACTGAGAAGGGCACCCCTGTGTCCTGAGTCCTGTCCAACAACAGTGGATAGAACAAGTCCACAGCCGAAACAGGTAGACCATCTTTTTTGATCGAAATAGTTTTCTTTTCTCTCTTCAAGGAGAAAAACACAGCATGAAAGAAAGCATTTCTGTATTCTGTTCAGAGATTCCAGGCTTCAGCCACAGCTGTGCAGCCATCACTGAGATGCCCTCTGCAATAAGGAACTTTCATGACCTGACTTATTCCACATTTCTCTCAAGAAAGTGTCCTCTAAAAGTATTGGTATCTATTTTTCAGGAACAAAATATTTTCAAACATTTTAACAGAATCTTAGAAAGGCTTCAAGACAAAAACGTAAGGTGGCTTCAAATACGTAACGCCAGGTCTTTATTTTGGTCATGACACCTCGTTTGAAAAAAAGTAATTTATAGGTATATATTATCCCTAATTTGATCATTATAACATAATAAATAATAGAATAAGAGGCAGGTATTATACAGATGAGGAATCTTGTCTAAGAACACAGGGCATACACGTGGTAGATGTGGGTCTAGAGCTGGGGTTGTTTCCAGTCTGATATAGTCAACAGTCAGTGTGGAATCCCAGAACCTGCGTGGGAGACCCAGAGGGGAGTGTTCATAATCGTAAATGCCTGCCTGCTAGAAAGACCTTTGGGGTTTTTCCTCAGAGAACAAAATATTTATTACACAGGGTTGACTGCTATAATTTAGCATATTTTTCATTGAATTGGCAGGTCATGTAGGCAAGGTGGCCTTATGACTCACACAGAAGAAGTGCATACATCTTGTAAGTGTGTAAGACTTAGTTGTCACTTTCATGTGCTCTTTGCCCAGGGTCACTACCACACACCATGTGCTCCAGCATGGTGGCAGGGGTTCACAGCTCCACACATCCTGCCTGTGGACCCCTCGGTGCCTGGCAGTCACTTCCATTGACTCCTGGCTCCCTCTCCCTACTGAGTCTGTTGGTTAGACATTTTCCTTCTGTGCTTCTCTAAGCAGAGCTCACACCTTTCCACTTTGTCTTCTACACACACTGACTGTAGGCTGAGCCTTTTGAAAGACGGGAGGCAGGAGGGACTGAGGACACACACAGCCCAACCCCATCCTTTCTGATGGAGATAGAAGACCTGGAAAGTGATGTGAGTCGCTGCCAGGGCTCATTCATGCCATTCTCTTATTAATGACTCTCTGCAAAAATAATTACCAGAGTCACACTTTGTATTGAAGTACAAATAAAATGATTCCCTAGAGGATGGAAACGATTGGTCTGGAGACCTTGTCTCATAGGATGTGTCTCCATACACCACCCTGCATTACAAGGGCTGTGCCAGAGACAGCATCCACAGCTCACACTTAAAGGGCTGTCACAGTTCCCATAAGTGACCCTAATTCATTTTCACAGTAGTCTTTTGAAATAAATGCTATCAGGATCACAATTTTCCAGAAATAGAAACTAACACTCAGAGAAGTGAATTATCTGCCCAAGTCACACAGAACATGATGGACCTGGCAGTTGGGCCTCTGTGTCTCCAGAGCATGTATTCCTAACAATGGTCCATTCTGCTGATCAAAGTGAAACATTCTCTGCCCACTAGGAGTTGTGCTTGACCACTCAGTGACTTGTCAGAATTAGACAGAATTTGAAGGAGGTGGGAGGATGGTTGCCTTTCATTGAATTCTCCCATGAGTGAGTGGTTTCATGACCTGAGAGTTGAGTCAAATGGGAATGTGTGCAAACCGGCTGAGGAACTACGCAAATCTCTCCTTATCTGTGCGGGCATCACCTTTGCAATAACTGTGTCCCCAGCATGAGCCAGAGAGGACACTCGAAGGCTTGACCAAGCAGCTTTGTGCAACAGCCTGCTGTATCCAGAAATCTCTTACCCAAGATCACCTTCAACCTCTCTCTTCTTGAACACTGGAAGACAGCGTGGCCAAGACGGGATGTGTGGTCTCTGCTCACCAGGGTGAGAGAAGCATATGAGCTAGAGACAGAACTTCTAACACTTTCTCTGCCACTCTCTAGGTGTGGACAATTCACTTTAGCCCTCTTTAAAATGCCAGAATAAATACCTGACTGTCCTTCATAAGCTGGTATCAAATAAGCTGAAGTTACTCAACAAAGGCAAAATGGTAGAATTTTATTTGTAATAATATTGTTGGGTTTGTTTATCTCCTTCCTTAGTCACAACTACAAAATCTTGTGCTTGGTTCTGAAGACTTTTTCAACACATCAAAGCATGTCTGGTATGGAGAGGTGAGATCTGTACACAATCATAAGAACAGTTTTGATGCATGTGGCAGCTTCTGAGATAGAAGGGACAAATGCCAAGGGATCCACAAGTGGCCAGAGAAGCTGTCTGCAGGCCAGGTTGTGTGTGCCATTCCCTTTCCTGCCCTCCAGTTGGCAGGAGGTCTTCACTCCAGGACAGACTCAGCTGAATTCAGCCAAATTTAAGGGCAGACCTGCAGTCAGCAAAGTTGGTTCCATATGTTTACCTGCCAGACAGCCCCTTCCACAGACAGAACTTGGTGCAACCAGGAGTCACCTGCAGTGCAGCAGGAAAGAGGGATGGCCTCAGGAGGCAGGCACTGGCACACTGGCGTCAGGAGGAGGTGTCTGCATGCTGGCCTTGGGAGGAGGTGCCCACACACTGGCATCAGGAGGAGGTGTCCACACAGTGGCATCAGGAGGAGGCATCCACACGCTGGCATCGGGAGGCAGGTATCCACACACTGGCATCGGGAGGTGTCCACACATTGGCATCAGGAGGAGGTGTCCATACGCTGGTATTGGGAGGCAGGTGTCAGCACTCTGGCATCAGGAGGAGGTACCCTCACACTGGCATCGGGAGGAGGTACCTACATGCTTGAATAGGGAGGAGGTGCTCACACGCTGGCATCGGGAGGCAGGTGTCCACACGCTGGTATCGGGAGGCAGGTGTCAGCATGCTGGCATTGGGAAGAGGCACCCTCACACTGGCATCGGGAGGAGGTGTCCATATGTTGGCATCAGGAGGAGGTGTCCACACGCTGGTATCGGGAAGCAGGTGTCCCCACGCTGGTATCGGGAAGCAGGTGTCCCCACGCTGGCATTGGGAGACAGGTGTCAGCACGTGTGCTCTGGGCTCTGCTGACTGCGAATGCTTCTAGCACCCCCAGTGGGGGAAGGGTCACTTCCCAGGCTTAGGGAAGCTGAGACCCGGGCCAGTGAGGCAACTTGCTGTCACCAAGGTAGAATCCTATGGCCCCTGCAGAACCTGCCTGCCCTATACCCTCCCAGTCCCCTTTTCTTTCCCTTTTTCTTCTCTCCTCCTACCCAGGCCTGCCCGTGTGCCATCCTGCCACAGGTCCTGTGTGGATAACAATACCCTGTAGGCTGAAGCTCATGTTAGAGGTGGCAGAGCACTTTCATCTTAGTCCTGCTTACAGTACACCAGGGGATGTTGGCAGACAATCCGAAGACCACCGAGGGGTGCACTCAGGAGCTGACACTCACTTCCCAGAACCTGTTGGGAAGAGGACTGCCAACCCTGAGCACATGGTCAGCCCTGTGAGGGCCACTATTTCTATTGTACAGGGCTCTTGTGAGATGTGCTGAGATGAAAAGATGAAAGAGAAATGGCCCCGGTCTGTGAGGTTACCATATATTCAGTGAAGAGCAACAGATGCATAAAGAGATGGTGCCAATAAAATGAGGAAGTATATGACAGAGTACCCAGCAGGGGACAGAGTGGGGCTGGCCCTGAGCAGCCCATGAGACAAGGCTGGAGCTGAGGCTTAAGGCAGAGCCCAGCCGGGAGGGTGGGTAGGGCAGATGGGAGCCCTGCATACTGCAGAGGGGAGCGGATGGCCTGACCCAAGGCACAGGAACAAGAACTAAGAGCAAGCAACAGGAAGATGCTGGAGAAAGAGTGGGAGGCAGGCCAGGGCAGGGGATGGGGCAGCTGCTACAGAAAGAGTGGGAGGCAGGCCAGGACAGGGGATGGGCCAGGAGATGGGGCAGGCGGGCAGGTGGGCACGTGGGGCACACATCCTTCCAATACTTCTGCTCTCACACTGTGTGTTTTCTCTATCCACAGAGAACATATGTGGCATAGGTAGGAAGGAGAGCGAGAGGGACCCTGTCCGTGGTCATGGGACAGACATAAGCCACAGTACTTGGCCTGGGCAGAGGCTCCAGCCAGGTTGAGGCAGCAGTGTGATGTGGGTTGGGGGAAGGGCAGGGCAGGAGCAGGGTGTACATGGCAGGGGGACCTCGGGCATCAGCCTGGGCAGTGGGGAGCAGTGGGGACGTGTGCTGGGCACCCTGCTCCCCTTGGTTCCAGGCCAGCACTTATCTCTCAATCAAGCGTGCATGAGGCCAGGATACATATCTTTTGGGGCCTCCAGAGAGTTGGAAACCACATCCGTACCTTGGCTTCTACACGAGAGGAACTGCCCAGGGTTGGAGAGCGCCTGGTCTTCACCAGCTGGCTCCGTTTCCTCCCAACAAGGTCTGCTCCAGGCAGTGGGACGGGTTTTCACCTCTCTGGCTGGAGAGTACAGGCCCTTCTGCTATTCTGGGTCTTTCCACATGTGCACATTTTTGTGCCTCCTCACTCCCCACTCCTCTTCATTTCAGTCTCAACAAATTTAGCACAACCCACCACCACACACCACGGCAATTGCACCTTCCCTGTCCTCTTTGTCTACACTGTGTCCCTCACACAAACCAGGCCTTGGTGCTGACCCCAGGGCAGTGGGAGGGGCTGAGCTCCTCTCCTGGCCACTCAGGGACATGCTGCACCTTGTGTCCTCTACCGTGCTCTCTTCCCTCCTCCTACAACCCATCCATGGATCTCCTCACAAAAGCTGACTTCCGTTTCCCAGAAAGGACCTGAAAGAGTGTAGGTTTGAAGCACAACCTGGGATCCCAGCCGTCTTGGGCAAAATCTCAGCAGATCACCTCCTCCTATGTGCCTCAGTTTTCCCATCTGTAAAGCAGAGGGTAGCACCAGGTTTAGTACATAAAATGATGAAATTATCACATTGCCTGGCCCATCGCTGCCACTAAATAAAGACAAGCTACTTTAATTAACTCATCAGCATGAAGGGAAGAAGCTGTTGGTCTCCTGGCCTCTGCAGGAAACTGAGGCCAGGCCAAGTATTCATTGTCAAATCCAGTGAGGCCTGATAAGCCCCTGGGAAGGGAGATTGCATCGGGCTGGACAAGGAAGATGAGGAAGTTGGACATGAAGCACAGACTGGTAGGTGCTCAGCTACTGAAATTGAGTTGAAAAGAGAAAGTTCTTGTTTCTGGAAGGAGCATTTTCTTAAGGGGCTGAGGCACTTGACTGTTTTTTCAGGGAGCCTCAGGCACTGCCTCTCTCTGGAAGGAAGCTCTCTCTGGTCAACCAGCTGCCCCCAGGTGCCTGGGTAGGAGCAGCTGCTGCTACACTCTGTGGAGTCCCCATACCCTTCTTAGCACAAAGGGGAGCCTCAGAGATGGGGTGATGTGGCTGAGAACTCTGACAGAACTGCTCCCATACCAGACCTGGAGGCACCAGGGATTTATCCAGACCTCATTCATCCACCTCCTTGGTGAGAAGCTGGGGACACGAGTGCCCCCAGAGCAGTGTGGTGGTGCTTTCCAGAGAGCACAGGGACTCTGCTCACAGCAAGCCCTGGACACGTGAATCCCATTGACTGTGGCATGATGCTTTCCAGGAGAGATTCATCTTTCAGCAAAGATTGAGGTGGAGACAAGTGCGGCGTGTGCCTGAGTTCTGCTGCGCTCTTCTGAGCTGGTCTCTCTCCCCGATATCTTTTTCCCTTGAGGCCTGTCCTTTTCTGAATATTAGCAGTCATTAAACTCGCCTTATCTTTGCCAGTTTTTCCATCTGTCCCTCTGAGATAATCTATAAATGACCTAGCACAGAGTCGGGCATTGACAAGAATTCAATCAGTGCCGGTTCTATGAGCTCCTTGGTCCCTGCAGACCTTGCAGTCCTCAGACACTGTTGCTTACAGTTTTGGACCCTGGCACTTCCTGGGGCCTAAGTAACAACAGTTGTAATAAAGAGATGCAGAGACGCACCATTTAATCTCTAAAACTTCAGCCAAGTTCTGTGTGACCAAAACTAGGTAATTCACCCCATCAGAATTAGAACTGCAATAGATCTATGTCCTCTCACCACTCAGAGTCATGGCATCAAACAGGATCAAGGACCCATAACATCCCCGCCTAGGTCCCCATGCTGGAGCTGCTGAGGGAAAGGCCCAGGGAGCCCTCAGAGAGGACGCCTGTCACTGGAGGTGGGCTCACCACACCCCCAAGCTTGCTCTGCACTGGCTGGCATGCTCCCTGCAGTCCCAGGATTGGAGCATGTCTGCAGAGGGCTGGAGAGGAAAGGCACCAGGTCGCACAGGGCTTTAGAGCTCTGCTTCAAACTTAGACTTGAGCCTGTTGGCCCCGGGGAACCTTGGCAGGGTTAAAACAGGAAAGGAAAAAGTTACCTTTGTAAAGTTCAGTAGAGCCAATGGCAGAGCCTGGATTAGAGAATACGGAATTGGGAGGCCAGGAGACCAGTTGGGGACAGTTCAGAAATTCCCGTGAAAAGGCAGCACTGCACAGTGGGCCAGAAAGGAGAGTTGGGAAATTGGCTTTCAATACACAGAAGAGATGGGCTGCCTCCCAGACTCCCCATTCACATGCCTTGTTATTCCCCATGGCTGCTATCAGGGACCATGAACTTCAACACTCATGTTCCAGGGGGAGCTTGGGTTATTTTGAAGCAAGAATGCAGGTTGTAAAAGAAGACCTTTCACCTCCCTGATACGCACATCCCCAACACTGGCCCACTGGAGACTCACACTGGACAGAGGGAGCATCATGGCCATTAATGCAGGGAAGGCTTCTTCCTCGAATCTCGCCTGAGGGGTGCACTTGACCCTGGAGTGAGGACGGAGCCTGCAAAGGCAGGGCTGCGTGAGCATGCGGCTAAGTCCCCCATTCCCTCCTCTAGGACCCTGTGCCTGTCATTGGAGTGGAGAGGACAGAAACATAGGGTTGGTAAGTACTTGGATTGGGTGAGGCTGCCTTGGGTGTAGGGGAAGGACACAGATCCCTAGATGTAGTGACACCTATTGACATGTCTGCAAAGCCCATTTACAACTCTGTGCAGGTTCCTGGAGTCTCAGGAACAGCCTCTCATTGTCCAATTTTCGACCAGGTGTGCCTGCCAGCCCCCACCTGCAATCGCAGGTGAGCATCAGAGACCAGCACCTTCAAACTCGGCATCCCTGTGGAGTTGAGATGGAAAGAGTCCTGGGTGGGTGGATTTATGGAATATTCTACTATAAGCAGTGAGGAACAAAGAACACTGGTCTGTAGAGGAAGAGTCAGACACCAACAGAAATGTGTGTGTGTGAGACAGAGGTAGTGCAAAAAAGCTGAAAGCTTCCTGTGGGTTCAGAGAGAGACCTGTGCCTTCCCATAATAAACATTGCTGTTTTACATAAGATCCCTGGAGGTGACTCTGATTGGCCCCAGAGTGCCTTAACTAGTGCATCTGGGCAGCTCAGGAGGTTGCCCTACCCTGATCCAGAGCAGGGTGCTCTGTACCCCTCAAGGTGCCATAGGGAGAGTGTGGCAGCCAAGCACCCAGAAACCCTGGGTCCTTAGCCTGGCTCAGCCAGTTGATGTCCCCAGTGATGCTGGACGAGCCATTTCCTCTGGGGCCCAAACGTTCCCTTTTCTGACATGAGGGCTGGATCTGGTGATACCTCAGCCCAACCCAGCACTGTGGTCTCCATGGCTGCCTGTCCTGAGGAGTCCGGGCCGGAGCTCCATGCCCTTGGGTTTTGTTGCTGACTGGGGGCTTCGCACCATCCATTTCTTTTATCATGCTTTGAGGATACCTTTGATTTTCTTGTGTGTATATTAGGTTAGAGTACAGCCATTTCCAAGCACAGGCAGCATGGTGGGCCATGGGTGCAAGATTCCAGAAGTCATCAGTCCCACAGACCCGACTGTGAAGGCCTCCCCAACCCCTAGGGGAACTGGGCACCTTGGTGGCCTCACATTACAACTGTCATGAGAGCAGAGGGTGGGTCGGGTAGGGCTGGGCTGTGGGGGTCTGTATGGCACTCCTTCTGGGACGGGGGTTGGGAGTCTTTGTCCCAGCTTGGCTCCTAACTTGTGGACTGTGTCTTGCTAGGCCAAGGAGCAGCCTGGACCTGTGATATGAGGAGGTGGTCTCTGGGTACTTGCTGGCATTATAATTCTATAATAACGATCACTGAGGATCAAGACCTTCTGTGAATAGAGTCATATATGGAAGGAGCCTGCATTACAACTGTCTACCTAATATACTGGGTGAATCATTCGGTGTGCCAAATCTCTTTTACAGACTTTACCTATGGCCTCTCCTGACATGCTGAGGCTGTGTACACCGACTGTTTAAAGCTCAAGTCCATTAAGACTTAAATGAAATGACTTCTCTCTGATTTCCACAAGACCTTAGAACCAGCAGCATTTCAGAGGGCGGGGGAATTCACAAGTCAGCTTTCATCCCTTGAGGTTGTTTCCAATGTTAGAGGATATTGTGGGGATATTTTACTACCAGTTTATTGGTATTAGTCTCCAATAACAATAACCACAACTGGGCAAATCTCTTTTTTCATTTCACTGATTAATATTAGAGACAAAGTTTAAATGCCCGAGAGAAGAACCATCTGTGAAAATGAATTGGGAGGGCTGTGATGCAAACTCCCTTATCGAGGTTGCACTGTGTGCTTGGCATCGATTTCATTATCTCCCATTTCCTACTTATAATGTAATGGTCAGCCTTTTCCTGTTACCCAAGGGTAGCAATTTCCACTTTAGAGAACATATTTCTTACATATCCTTTGGTAATCATGGACAACTTAATGATTTCCCCTTGCTCTCTACACAAGAGCCTCCTGCTGTCTTTCAAGTAAAAAGCCAGGCTCTCCTTTGCAGGCAGGAAGCCTGTGGCCAAAGCCCTGCTCAGCAATCTGGGATTGCACATCTCACATGGCAACGGAAACTGAAGTGGTCTTTAAATGCCAAAGAGGAACCACTTCTCAGGTTGAAATCAGGCTACCAGGCCTTTGGGAAAATGCAGGCCAGTAACCAATTTCTGAGGGACAGATCACCACAAGAGAGAAACGTGCTCCCCAAACAAATATAAACCTCATTTTATTTAGAAGTAAGGCTTCTTCATCCTCTCCAGCTAGCAGCCGTGCTGAGGTGGGGGAAAGGTACTGACTTACCTGCTCTCCCTGGCTGATGACATAAAGGTGAGCACCTGCCAGGTGCAGTGGCTAGCGCCTGTAATCCCAGCACTTTGAGAGGCCGAGGCAGGTGGATCACCTGAGGTCAGGAGTTCGAGAGCAGCCTGACCAACATGGAGAAACCCCATCTCTACTAAAAATACCAAATTAGCAGGGCGTGGTGGTGCATGCCTGTAATTCCAGCTATTCAGGAGGTTGAGACAGGATAATCGCTTGAACCCAGGAGGTAGAGGTTGAGGTGAGCTGAGATCGTGCCATTGCACTCCAGCCTGGGCAACAAGAGCGAAACTTCGTCTCAAAAAAAAAAAAAATGAGCACCTTTCCACAGTGCCAGTAGAAGATGAGAGTCTAAGCCAGATATGCCCATAACTCCAAAGCTCAGGAAGATCCCAGGGGTTGGGAGCTGCAGTCCAGAGGAAGGGTGACTCCTGGTGGAAACAGGGGCTGCAACCACACCACAGGGCTACTTGGCCCCAGAGCAGACTGCATGCCTTAGAAAAGGCCCTGGGAACAGCTGTATCTTGTCCTTCCAGGATCCTCCAGATAGAGAAGCCAGACGTTGGGTGGAGGAGGGACTCAGATGGGGCTTGAAGGGAAGGGCCTTGTGAGGGCTGTAGGTGGCACACACTGGCAGAGGCACTGAACATACGTGACCTCCATCCTCACAAGAACCTGGCAACCAAGTGGCAACCCCATGCTCAGAAACAAAACTGAGGCTCAGAGAAGTTGAAGAATTTGTCTAAGGTCATGAAGCTGATAATGGAGGAAAATGGGATTCCAACTCAGGAGAGTTAAGCTCCAAGCCCTTGATTTTACCACTTGGGCCTTGTTACTCAAGGTCCAGGAACAAGTGGCACCTGTGCCACCTGGAAACTTGGTAGAAATCAGATCCTCGTGCCCCACTTCAGATGTACAGAATCAGAATGTGCATTTTCTCAAGAGTCCCAGGTTTAAGCATGTGTTCTGCCTTCCTGGGGAGGGTCCTTGAGCACTTTGGGGTCACAATTCAGCACCAAGTGGTGGTACATTCCCAGGTCAGGAAGAGGCTGTGTGTCTCTGGAGTAGAAACCCTAAGAGGCATAATAAGCAATAGTGCTTAGGAATAAGTGCTCAATTGTGATAATCAAACAGATAAGGAAAATAATGAGAAGGTGAGATTTCATGAAAGACAAAAAGACTAGTAGATGTTACACCTCTGGTTGTTTCTGAGTTTGTGAGCTCTTCGTCCATCTCTCCATCCACTCATTCATCAGAATGACTAAGGATCTAAAATGTTGGAAGGACACAGGCTGTCTCATTTTGCCTGTTTGGCCCACAGAGAGAAGTTAAAAGAGTTTGTTCTTACACCTAAGATGAGCTTCTAAGTTCAGTTACCAGAATTTTCAAGCAATGCAGAAAGTGGCATTCTGTGGTGGTCTTTAGAAAAGCAGTATCTCCTAAATCAAAGCAAGAGAGAATAAGACCACACATAAATCAAATGAAGAAAGAGTAGTGCCATCAATGATAGAGACAGACCTGAGGAGAGGGTGGTGGTAGAAAGAATCTGAATTAGAAAAGGGAGGAGAAGAAAGCCATGAGTGATGCTTGTCAAATTTGGGACTGGGCCCACACTGGCATTAAAGAGACCTGAATAGTACCTAGAAGTGTTCTGGGAGTTTTCACCATCCTGTGCTCCAATCATATCCTAATAGTTACTGATTTGGAAGTGGTACCCTGGGTCACATATGTCAATATCAATAGAAAGAAATGATTCTTATGGTAAATTCACAAAAGGATTATTTTTGGATTATAATTTGGCATCATGTGAGTTTGACTACCATGGGCTTGTTTCTGAGAATGTGATCACTTCAAGATGCCCTTACAAAATTGATCCTCTCTATTCTGAAAAATTGTAAGCCCTTGACCTGGCTTACTCACCTAACTACCGAGTGGCCCAATCAGCAGGTCTCCTTTCCTGGCATGGCACTGTAACCTCCTCACCCTGGATCTCTCCCACTACTTTCTTACAATTCAGTTAAGGGATCACCCATACCCACATGCTCACTGCCTCTCCCACAGTTAGTTCCTGAATCTGTTTTGACTGAGGTTGCAATTACTTAAACTTTTGCAACCATCCCCTTCTCTCTATTCAACAGGCAGAACCTAATATCATCACTCTTATTACGTGGCTAACCAGGGAGCTCCTGTTCTGTGCCTCAATTACCAACTCTCCCTGTCCTGTGCATGCCCTAGTCTATGGAAAGGACTTTAAGTGCCCTTTTCTGTCTCCATTTAGTCCTCCAAATGCCTTGCTTTCAATATTGAAGTCCAGCTTCTGAACACCCTACCAGGTGGCAAGGCTCCAAGAACCATTTTTTTAAGTGGTTCCATACTGCTTGGCATCATTTAGCCAATATGCTCAGGGTCTACACTCCATCTACCACTGGGATCCCATCACCACCTGCCTACCCCACTTCCACTCCCACAGCTGACAACTTTCCCTGAACAAGATTGAGATTGTTGTGCTCTTGGACACTTGTGCCCAGCCTCCCCTGCCCTGACAGCATCCTTGCCCTGTGGGTTCCTCCAGCCTCCATTTTCTTACCCCAGTGGGGAGACTAAGCACCACCTATGACTATCTCTTTACTTCATTACGTGGCTGGAGATGGAGTTTCTTCTGTAAATGGCATCTGACCTATCTCAAGATAGAGGAGCCCAAAGGAGTGATCCGAGTGAGTGAAGTGAATTAGTGACAACTTCATGCAAAAAAGTTTGAGACACGTCATGGAGATGAATTAGGGAAGAGGTAGAGGAGGACCTCCAAATAGAGGAAATGAGGTAACACTTGCAGGGACTGGGCAACCACCAGCTCAACAAGGGAGGGGACAGAGGTCAGCCTGTGGCAAGGAGCTCCCAGCCCCTCCCTCTCTGGGAAGAAGCAGTGGAAGCACCTTTCCTCCAGTTCTGCTCTGGACTCCCAGCAACAAACCGTCATGATCTGGGAACTTTGCACAGCCAAGGATGAAATGTCAGCCCTCAAACCTATGTCAGAGCTGCTGTGAAAATTGGAAATAAGAAACTTATGATAGGAAATTCATTTGCATGTACTATTTTACTTTTAACCCAGAATGATAGCTTTAGGCTTAAGCCATCCTATATCATCTGTATGAATTATTTCTTAATTTTCACTGAATGTTCAAAAGTAGAGTCATGTTTAATCATATAAGCACAGAGATGCATATACACACATATTCATACCTGCATGGGGCAGGGGAGTGTGTGTGTGTGTGTGTGTGCATAAACACAAGTTGCTGGGAGGAGATGAAATGAATAATGCCATACACTCACAACTTAAAAAAAATTGGGAGTAGTAGTATTTTGTTTCTCAGTTATTAATTCCAGTTAATGTAGTGATTAGAAAAGGAATCCACAAACATTTACTGGAATCTAAGTTCAGCCAAGCATAATGAGACTGGCTCATGTTATTTTTAATAGGCTTTTCATAGCTCATCCCTTAAATATAGAGAAACAAAGAGGTAAGAGAAATCAAGTCTATTCAAAGGCACATTCCATCCATGATACCAAGATTACAGCAGTTCTCTCATGGCTATAAAGCTTTGTTCCTGTCTCTTTAGCCAATTCAATAAGTAAGCTCACAAATGGGATAAAATAGATTAAGGAAGCCCTAAATGTAAGTGTCAAAGATAAACAGAAAACATAGTATACTCTTTCTTGCTCTTTTTGCACTGTTGTGTGACTTGAAACATTTTCCCTAGTTAGTTAGGAGACTTGGAATACTTCCAATCTGCCCCTACTCCTTGCCGCTTATAAATTCTTAACTTCCTATTGATACCAAAGATATCACAAGAAAACAAATCAATATATCATATTAATATAGATATAAAAACCTTCAACAAAATACTAGCAAGCCAAATCCAGTAACATATAACACAAACTGTATACCATGTGTATGCATACCAAGTGGAACTTATTCCAGGAATTCAAGGTTGGTTTAATATCTGAAAATTAATTAATGTAAAATAACATATCAACAGAATAAATGATAAAACCATATGATCCTCTAAATTAATGCAGAAAAGACATTTGACAAAAATCTAACCCCCTTCATGATAAAAACACTCAAAAAGCTATGAAAAAAATGGAAATTTCCTGAGCCTAATAAAAGACATCTATGAAACATCCACAGCTAATTTAATAGAAAATGACTTATTGTTTTCCCCTAAGATCAGGAATAAGACAAAGATATTCATTCTCACTGCTTCTATTCCACATTGTACTGGAAGTTCCAGCCAGAGAAATTAGTCAGGCAAAGGAAATAAAAGGCTTTTCGACTGGAAAAGAAGAAGTAGAACTATATTTATTTCCAGATGACATGATCTTATATATAGAATATGCTACAGAGCACACTAAAAAAATAGAATTAATAAATGTGTTCAGCAAGGTTGTAGGATATGACACCAATATGCAAAAATCAGTTGCAAATCTATACATGAGCAATAAACAATTTGAACGTTGTTTTAAAAATTTCATTTACAATACCATTCAAAAGAATAAAATACATAGAAATAAAGTTAACAAAGAAGAACCAATATTTCCATGCTGAAAAATCACAAAACCTTAATTTAAAAAAAGAGACATCAATAAATAGGAAGACATACTATGTTCATGGATTGAGAGATTTAATACCATTAAAATGAAAATACTCCCCAAGATGATCTATAGACTCAATCCCTATCAAAATTTCATCAATCTTTTTTGTAGAAAATGAACAGTCAATCCTGAAACCCACATGAAATTACAAGGGACCTTGAATAGCCAACCAACCTGAAGAGAAAGAACAGAGTTGAAATGCTCACACTTTTCATTTTCTTTTTTTGTTGTTGTTCTTTTTTTTCTTTTTTTTTTTTTAGACAGAGTTTCACTCTTGTTGCCCAGGCTGGAGTGCAATGGTGCAATCTCAGCTCACTGCAACCTCTGCCTCCCAGGTTCAAGCTATTCTCCTGCCTCAGCTTCCCAAGTAGCTGGGATTACAGGTGCCTGCCACCACACCCAGCTAATTTTTTGTATTTTTTAGTAGAGATGGGGTTTCACTATGATGGCCAGGCTGGTCTCGAACTCTTGACCTCAGGTAATCCACCCACCTCAGCCTCCCCAAGTGCTGGGATTACAGGCCTGAGCCACCGTGCCCAGCCCAAATTTTCATTTTCAAAGCTGTGATACCGGCATGCGATACTGGCATAAGGATAGTCAAATAAATCAATGAACTAGAACTGAGATCCCAGAAATAAAACCATTCATAGTCAATTGGTTGTACAATGCAGTGCCAACATTATTCATTTGGTAAAGAAGAGTCTCTTCAATAAATGGTGCTGGGACAACTGGATATTCATACATAAAAGAATAAAATTGGACACTTACCTCATAAAATATACAAATATTAACTCAAAATGGATCAACAACCTAAATGTAAGAATTAAAACAATAAAACTCTTAGAAGAAAACATGTGAGTGGCTCTTCAGGGCCTTGGATTTGGCAAAGGTTTCTTAGACATGACACCAAAAGCACAGGTGACATAAATAAATCGATACATTGGAGTTAGTCAAAATAAAAAACTTTGTCCATCAAAAGACATAATCAAGAGAGTGAGAAAACAACTCAGAGAATGGAAGAAGATATTTCCAAATCATACACCTGACATGGGTCTAACACCCAGAATATATAAAAAGCTTTTAAAACTCAATAAAGAAAAGCAAACCAATTTTTAAATGTGCAAAGGACTTGAATGGACATTCTTCCAAAGACAATATACAAATGGCCAACGAGCACATGAAAAGATGCTCAACATGATTAGTCATTAAGTAAATTCAAATCAAAACAACGAGATATCACTTCATACCCACTAGAATAATCAAAATTTTAAAAATGGAAAATAACATGCGTGGGTGAGGATATGGAGAAAATGGAACCCTTACATGCTGTTGGCAGGAATGTCAAATGGTATAGCTGCTGTGGAAAATAATTGACTGTTCATCAACAATTTAAACATAGAATTACCATATGACCTAGCAATTCCACTCCTAAGTGTATACCCATAAGAATTCAAAATAGATGTGTAAGCAAAAACATATACACAAATGTTCATAGTGGCAACAACCCAAATGTCTATCAACAGGTAAATAGATAAAATGCGGTGTATTCAGTCAATGGAATATTATTCAACTATAAAATAAATGATGCATGATTACAACATGCTACAAAACCATTATGCTAAGTGAATGAACCAAGACACAAAAGGTCACATATTTTATTATTCCATTTATATTAAATATCCAGAATAGACAAATTCATAGAGACGAAAAGCAGATTTGTGGCTGCTAGGAGTTGGGGATGAGATTAATGGGATACAGATTTTCACTTGGGATCATACAAATTCTGAAACTAGATGATGGCAATGGTTGCAAAATATTTTGAATAAAATAATGTCACTGACTTTTAAAAAATGATTTAAATGGTACTTTTGTTTGTTTGTTTGTTTGTTTGTTTGTTTGTTTTTGAGATGGAGTCTCGCTCTGTAGCCCGGGCTGGAGTGCAATGGCATGATCTCGGCTCGCTCTGCCTTCTGGGTTCAAGTGATTCTCCTGCCTCAGCCTCCCTAGTAGCTGGAATTACAGGTGCCCACCTCCACGCCCGGCTAATTTTTGTATTTTTAGTAGAGACAGGGTTTTGCCATGTTGGCCAGGCTGGTCTCGAACTTCTGACCTCAGGTGATCCACCCACCTCAGCCTCCCAAAGTGCTAGGATTATAGGCGTGAGCCACTGCCTTTTATGTTATGTGTATGTTACCATAATTTTTAAGTATGATTTTTAAAATTGTAAAATTTTTTAAAAGCATAAAGTGAATCATACTTTAATCTTCTTAATATGAAGATGCTCACACATGCCTGAAAATTGCATTTTATAACAAACATTTTTGAACTCAAAGTAGTGTTATTGCTGTTTTACAGAAGAAAAAAGACACCATTACAGTGTCTTATTCAGGACCTAAGTCTGCACCTGACACTTAGTAGAAACTTAAAAGATGAACGAATGAAGGAAAAAACAAACTGAGATTCAGAAAGCTTAATTTGCTTTCCCACTCTTATGTAGCTGGTAGGTAGTTGGGCCAACATGTAAGCCAGTCCCTCAATTTCTGCCTGTCTCATTCATTCCACTATATCATGCTATCTGCCATAAATACATTCCCTGCATGATTTTGTCTGTACTTCAAGGAACTGTTAATAATTTAGAAAAACAAGTAATGCACATTCATCATTCTTCATTAGTTTAAGCACCACAAAACAAAGCAAAACAAAATCTAGAAAAAAGGTCAGGGTTTCCCCGAAGCTAAAAGGCAAGATTTTCCTAAATGTTGTTTTGATAAATTAACAAGCAGAGAATTTCCTCAACACTTAAGCATGAGCATGATCCTACACCACCTATTGTCAGGGTCCTGTGACATCCTGGGGCTCAGCAGTAATGCTCCAGGGCATGAAATGGCCTCTCATGTCTTTCCGTAATCCCATACAAAACAGCAGAAATCGCTAGAATAAGGGGCTTAGATGCTTGTCACTTTGGCTCATGCATCAAGGCATCTCACGTTAGCTAGGGACTACTTCCACAGGGACCCAAACATCTCCTTAAAAGTAAAAAGATGTTATTTGTCAAAAGATTTGTTTACTTGATACAAAATATGAATATATTTATGGCTACTTGGATTTAAAATCATGTTTAAGCTGGATATTGAATCACAAGTGTGCCCATTTACATATAAATATTTGGCATTAAATATTTAGATAAGTGAAGAAATAATTCAGGATCCAACACCAAGGAGACAATAGAATATTGTGACAGAGCTCAGGATCTGAAGTCCAACAGCCTGGATGAGAATCCCAGCACCAGTGCCTCCTAACCACACACTCTTGAGCAAGACCCTTCACTTCCACGTGCTTCATTCATTTTCTTTATCTGTCAAGTGAGTTCATGACAATACATATCTCAGAGTGTTACTATGAGAATTAAAATACAGAGCACGTGTAAAGCATTTAGCATAGTGCCTGCAAATAGTAATCTCTCAAAAAACGTAAGCTGATGCACTCCTTTACAAACAAAGAGTATCTCTCTAAAACTCAGATTTCTAGGCACAGTCTCATCAGTGTCAAAGCAATCAAAAAAACAAACAAAAAAGAGGTAGCATTCCAAGGTCCAAGGCTCTCAAAAGAAAGTGTGCTCAGAGGTTTGGATAATGCTCAAACACGTAGCTTGGGTTTGAATTCTCAAAGAAAGTGCTTAAGATGAAAAGGACATATAATCAAGGTCAAAAATATGAGCAGATGCTTGATGATTAGAATGACACTTGTGGAACTAATACAGCGAAGATGGCTCCTCAGGCTGTGTTCCGAGCCAGAAAGGTGCAGACTGGAGTGGCCCAGTGCTGGTGATGGAAAGTGTGGGGAATCCCTGATAAAAGCAAAATGAAGCCCAGGATGAGTGGGGAGGTAAGAGTTTCAGGCTGTGCTGATTCATCTCAAGCCCAGTAAAATTACATCCCAGGCAACAGAGAAAATTTACTAAGCTGACTTTTAATTGCTGTCAATATGGTGCAGAGGCTTTAGATGCAGAGGGGCCCTGAGATCAAATTTCTGTTCTGCCGTCCTCTGTTTCACTTCAGAAAGAATCAAATTTGGGCTGATTTTCTTATCTCTTATCTTCTTAGCTCTGTACATCCCATCTGATTCATTTATATGATGAGAATGGTAGTATTAGGTTGAAAAGTTTACAATAGCCAATACTGAATTATTTTTACCTCCATAATTAGCAATTTAATATGGTTTAACCTAATGGCTAATTTGCATACATGGTAAGGAGAGTAATGTTAGATAACATATAGGTTTACTCCAGTTAGCTTGAAATATATCTGTTCTCTCATTCACCTATATTGGAAGATTTGACAGAAAATTAGAATTAGGAAAATACCAGAAAATGGCCTGATTTTATACAAAGAGGATATTCATAGTTTAAAAATTAGAGTACTCTAAATAAACTCTAAACTCAAATTCCTTAATAATAATGATAATGTCAGGAATGTCATAATGCCCATAGCACTTTTTCTATCATTGTCTTATTTTGATTCTTATAACAATCTTAGGAGCTATACAGCTAATACTGGTCCCCTTGCCACACTTCCAGAAAGCAAGGGACTTACTGGTCCAAGGACAATACATAAATGGCAGACACAAAGCTCCTAGCAAAGTCTGTGATTCCACAATCAGCGCTCTTTCCACTGTACCATACTGTCTTCTATATTTACAAGCAAAAATTCCCAGAACTAGGTCTTCAGATCTAAGCAAAGCGAGCACTTGGCTGCTAGGTTCCATGTCCCCGGTGTCCTTGGTAGAGGGAGCTCTGAGTTACTCGGAAACTGAGGGAGGGGCAGCGATTCTCATTATTTGCTTAAGTGGGTGGTAAGTACCAAATATTTTCTGTTTGGAACTAAGGTTTCCAACTCCTGGGGATTCTTACAAAACAGCTAAGTTATCTGAGCTGCTGTGAATACAGAGGAACTCCTTGCGTCATTATCTAGTGGAGGGAATCAGGATTTGGGTTTCAAGTTGGCAGTTCTTAGAATCAGTTTCCTATTTTCAGCTAAACGTCACCTTCCTCATTTTGTCCTTTCTGTCATAGATTGTAATACTTCCTGACATGCTCCTTTTTAAAATGGGAAGAAAATCCATGTATTTAAAAATTCCACTTATTTAACTACATAAGCACTGAACACTATTGTGCAAAGATAATTGTGGTTTAACTGCCACAGTTAGTATCAAAATCAACATATATTTCCTGTCTTGCTGTTTTTCTGCATTAATCTCATTACAGTTCAAATCCAGGAGAATATCTATCCTGAAGCATAGCACATGTGCCCGTGTTCTCCTACTGAATGTGACTGTCATGTAGGCAGCTGGTGTTCTGGAGGAACTTTCCAAACACCTCCAACTTCTGTGGAGAGCTCGGCGTTCTCCATCCCGCTCCCCCTTTAGTGAATGAGAAGCATGTCAGCCTGCACAAGAGCCAATACAACAATTCTTTTTGGCAGTAGCTAATTGTTAATGACTTCTTCAATGTATTCATTTCAAAGACAAAAGTAATAATAGATTACACACAAAAGTCTCCTTAAAAATCCCATCTTGTCCACACCCAATCTCATCTCTAGCAAAAACCCAGAATTTTATTTTAATTTGTGTTTGTAGTTATAGGAAACTTCATCTTTATCTTGTTAGATTATTTTAAAATTTTAACTAAATTTGTCTTTTTAAATGAGAAAAGCAAAACAAACCCCTTCCAGTTAGAAGTGTTCCTCTTTTCTCTCAATCTTCAGCAGTATTTTAAGGCTTAAAGGAAGCAAGTCTCGTCCTAAAATGTAAATATAGACCTCCCATTGGCTCCAGACATGGCTTTGCTTTGTGGCTGAATTTTGCAAACGATCCAAAGCAGAGTGGTCATTCTGCATTACTGAAGTGCTCAAAATGCTCTGCCAAACATTCAATTGTTCACATTCATCATCAAGACAGGGCTGATCATGAAGGAAGGATACTCCATTTTCTTCATTCCAGGATGCCATTGATTGTAAAACTATCATAGATGTAATAATATTTGTAAACATTCATGTTGGGGAAATACTACAGACTAATTTCTCACGTGTTAACCTTTCTGATATTGGAAGGCATTGCATGATCAAAACATACATATTAATCACATACAGATCATGCTCTGCATTCCAATATTTGGTGTGTAAACATATAAGAAAACATGCACCTAGCTTTGGGAAAACTCAGTGTTTGTGTTTACTTTTTCCTCACTTGTTTATTTAGTGATCCCCCATCTTCATCTTCAGTCTATGTTATTGATTAATTGGAAACATTAAATTCTTTCCTTCTGGTGAAATTTTCAAAGGTAAGTTAGAATTCTAAAACATGGACTAGGCATCCCTGAACTGGAACTTGGTGATGGGGGTGATGGGAAAGAGGAAGGGTGCAGGAATGATCAAACTATTTAAGGAAATTTTGTTAGGAACACCAATTTCATCCAGGGTGGAAAAATTACAATATGTAGTCTGAGAGGAGTTGGTATTGATTTTGTTTGGTTTTGGCTTTATGAGGCTTAAGAATCAAAAATCATCTCTAGAGATTTTATTTTTTACATAAGAGAGGCTTAATGAAGATATTCTTGGAAAAATTTAATCATCCAGAGATCAGCTGGGTGCAAAAATGGTAATATGTATAGAAAACTGAGAGGTCAATATTTAGACCCTAGCCTATAAAGGACCCAGGATGGAAAGAAACAAATTACCTTGCTTTGGAGAACTATCCAGAGGCAAGGGAAAGAAAGATCATTGGTTAATTTAGGCAAGGCTCTATTCTTGCCAGGGCTTGTTATTTCTTGCCAGGGCTAGTCTGTTAATTTTATAATGTGTTTCCCTGTCTCCAAACCATTTTTAATGCATCTTTTTAGGGAAACCCCATTACGAGTGGATGATTGGGTATTTTGAAGACCAGGCTGCTCATCAGAGCTCAAACACAGCTCTCCTCCATTAAATAAATAAGATATCTAATAGGATGACATGTGCCTCTGACCATGACATGTCACGGAAGAGAAGAATTCAGGAATCAAATTTACCTAGAAGCTAGTCATGGCATAAAATAACTAAACCTGCAATTATAGTAACCCACCACCAGCTGGCAGTAGTGTTAAATCATGTTCTGACAGTGGTTTTTACAAATCGAGTTCCCATTTAATGTGGAATTCATGCATGAAGCGAACAATAGAGATTGCAATTCAGCAATTCAAATCTCTATAGCTTTAAAAAATTCCCCAAAATATTTTTCTAGATAATAAATAATAATCCATGCTCTTTATAAGCATTTGAAAAAAAAATCTTAAAATCACCTGTAATACTACCTCCCAGAATTGTCATGTGTTCTTTTACTGTCTTTTTTCCTTATATAAGTACTTTTCTTAATTGGGATATACATGTGTGTGCATACATACAAGACAACACAAATACATATATACATACACATATATAGTCTTCATTTTATCCACACACTTAACATAGTACTTAGCACATAGCAAGTTAATATAAACATTGGTTAAAAAATTAATACTTGAATACATTCTAGATTTAAAAAAAAACAGAGTTTTAAAAAGGGAAAAATCTGCTCAAGAGTTACAAAATAGGCAACAAACTTTTTTTGCCCCTTTTGACGTCAGACCTGGGCTATTTTTCTATAGATCGTTACCTTCATTTTGTCTTTTAAGAAGAAGTGAACTCAAAAAAAAAAAATGTAGTTATGGGTTTGGGAGGGTAGTCATAGATGTTTGAACCTAAGAATTGAGTACCACATTTTCCCTACATGAAAAACAACTGCTCACTTTATTAAATGGCAAAGCAACAATTGCAACACTGCAGTAATAACAGATAGACTAGAGAATGTGGCATAGAGCGTGAGTCCTAAACTGGGCTTTCTCTTCCCTCCTGCATAAACTCAGGAAGACTGCATAGTTGAGAAACTTCTTAGTGGTTGGAGTTCCAGCCCTAAGGCCCAAGCTTCCACAGGCCAGACTGTGTTTCCCAGTATAGGAGGAGGTAGAAGATCAAGGCTGAGACTTCCAGCTTCTCCTTATAGCAAATCAGATTCTGGGGAACAGATATCTGATTTCTGTCTTCCATCGTACTCCCTCTGCCTGGTGAGGGGCACTGCCCTAATCTGGCTTGTCCATTTACTTAAGCATTTCTCTTCTGTCCAGTAGCAAAGGTCTGAAGTGTTCTTGTTTTGTTTTCATATATTTACTATAATAGTTTTCATTTTTTCTTATGTTGGCCCTGTCAATCAGATCTTCTAAAAATATTTTTCCAGCTATTTATTTGTTAATATTTAAGAAAGTTCCTCATGTCTGTCCAATTTGCTAAAATCTCTTATTGGTTTGAATAGTTTTTGCACCTAATGTTATCCTATTTTCTTTTTTTGTAATTATTATTATACTTTAAGTTCTAGGGTACACGTGCACAATGTGCAGGTTTGTTACATATGTATACATGTGCCATGATGGTGTGCTGCACCCATTAACTCATCATTTAATTAGGTATATCTCCTAATGCTATCCCTTCCCCATCCCCCACCCCACGACAGACCTCAGTGTGTGATGTTCCCCTTCCCGTGTCCAAGTGTTCTCACTGTTCAATTCCCACCTATGAGTGAGAACATGCAGTGTTTGGTTTTCTGTCCTTGCGATAGTTTGCCGAGAATGATGGTTTCCAGCTTCATCCATGTCCCTACAAAGGACAGGAACTCATCCTTTTTTACGGCTGAATAGTATTCCATGGTGTATATGTGCCACATTTTCTTAATCTAGTCTATCATTGATGGACATTTGGGTTGGTTCCAAGTCTTTGCTAGTGTGAATACTGCCACAATAAACATACGTGTGCATGTGTCTTTATAGCAGCATGATTGATAATCCTTTGGGTATATACCCAGTAATGGGATGGCTGGGTCAAATGGTATTTCTAGTTCTAGATCCTTGAGGAATTGCCACACTGTCTTCCACAATGGTTGAACTAGTTTACAGTCCCACCAACAGTGTAATAGTGTTCCTATTTCTCCACATCCTCTCCAGCACCTGTTGTTTCCTGACTTTTTAATGATTGCCATTCTAACTGGTGTGAGATGGTATCTTATTGTGGTTTTGATTTGCATTTCTCTGATGGCCAGTGATGATGAGCATTTTTTCATGTGTCTTTTGGCTGCATGAATATCTTCTTTTGAGAAGTGTCTGTTCATATCCTTCACCCATTTTTTGATGGGGTTGTTTGATTTTTTTCTTGTAAATTTGTTTAAGTTCTTTGTAGATTTCTGGATATTAGTCCTTTGTCAGATGGGTAGATTGCAAAAATTTTCTCCCATTTTGTAGGTTGCCTGTTCACTCTGATGGTAGTTTCTTTTGCTGTGCAGAAGCTCTTTAGTTTAATTAGATCCCATTTGTCAATTTTGTCTTTTGTTGCCATTGCTTTTGGTGTTTTAGACATGAAGTCCTTGCCCATGCTTATGTCCTGAATGGTATTGCCTAGGTTTTCTTCCAGGGTTTTTATGGTTTTAGGTCTAACATTTAAGTCTTTAATCCATCTTGAATTAATTTTTGTATAAGGTGTAAGGAAGGGATCCAGTTTCAGCTTTCTACATATGGCTAGCCAGTTTTCCCAGCACCATTTATTAAATAGGGAATCCTTTCCCCATTGCTTGTTTTTCTCAGGTTTGTCAAAGATCAGATGTTTGTAGATGTGTGGTATTATTTCTGAAGGCTCTGTTCTGTTCCATTGGTCTGTGTCTCTGTTTTGGTACCAGTACCATGCCGTTTTGGTTACTGTAGCCTTGTAGTATAGTTTGAAGTCAGGTAGCATGATGCCTCCAGCTTTGTTCTTTTTGCTTAGGATTGTCTTGGCTATGCAGGCTCTTTTTTGGTTCCATATGAACTTTAAAGTAGTTTTTTCCAATTCTGTGAAGAAAGTCATTGGTAGCTTGATGGGGATGGCATTGAATCTATAAATTACCTTGGGCAGTATGGCCACTTTCAAGATATTGATTCTTCCTATCCATGAGCATGGAATGTTCTTCAATTTGTTTGTGTCCTCTTTTATTTCGTTGAGCAGTTTGTAGTTTCCTTGAAGAGGTCCTTCACATCCCTTGTAAGTTGGATTCCTAGGTATTTTATTCCCTTTGAAGCAATTGTGAATGGGAGTTCACTCATGATCTGGCTCCCTGTTTGTCTGTTATTGGTGTATAGGAATGCTTGTGATTTTTGCACATTGGTTTTGTATCCTGAGACTTTGCTGAAGTTGCTTATCAGCTTAAGGAGATTTTGGGCTGAGACAATGGGGTTTTCTAAATATACAATCATGTCATCTGCAAACAGGGACAATTTGACTTAATCTTTTCCTAATTGAATACCCTTTATTTCTTTCTCCTGCCTGGCTGCCCTGGCCAGAACTTCCAACACTATGTTGAATAGGAGTGGTGAGAGAGGGCATCCCTGTCGTGTGCCAGTTTTCAAAGGGAATGCTTCCAGTTTTTGCCCATTCAGTATGATATTGGCTGTGGGTTTGTCATAAATAGCTCTTATTATTTTGAGACACGTCCCATCAATACCTAATTTATTGAGAGTTTTTAGCATGAAAGTTGTTGAATTTTGTCAAAGGCCTTTTCTGCATCTATTGAGATAATCATGTGGTTTTGTTTTTGGCTCTGTTTATATGATGGATTACATTTATTGATTTGCATATGTTGAACCAGCCTTGCATCCCAGGGATGAAGCCCATTTGATTATGGTGGATAAGCTTTTTGATGTGCTGCTGGATTTGGTTTGCCAGTATTTTACTGAGGATTTTCACATCAATGTTCATCAGGGATATTGGTCTAAAATTCTCTTTTTTTGTTGTGTCTCTGCCAGGCTTTGGTATCAGGATGATGCTGGCCTCACAAAATGAGTTAGGGAGGATTCCCTCTTTTTCTATTGATTGGAATAGTTTCAGAAAGAATGGTACCAGCTCCTCCTTGTACCTCTGGTAGAATTCGGCTGTGAATCTGGTCCTGGGCCTATTTTCTATACATATGCCATATCATCCACAAATAATACAAATTTTGTCTACTTCCTAATATTTGGATTCCTTATTTCTGATTGCTCTCTTGCTTCATTAGCCACAAGTTCTGGGATAATGTCAAATAATGGGTACATTTGTCTTTTTACTTTGTTAATTAGGCATTTCTAATTGATCACTTTTCACTATGATATTGACTGCTGCATTTATAAATCTATATATTTATAGTTATATAAATACATGTTTATATATGAAGAACCTAAAGGAGAAAACTGCACATTATCCTTTGCATTATGCATAAATAAATATTATATTTACATATTATATAGCATATATATTACATCATATTATGTGTAATGATAATTATACATAATTAAATTATATGATTAAATATATATAAAGCACATTATACTTTATATGTACATACTTTTTCATGTTAAAAACCCTTCCATTCTTTTTTTTATGTTTATAGTGATTTTTTGTAGTTATTTTATTGTTTTTTATTTTAAGTTCTGGAGTACATGTGCAGGATGTGCAGGTTTTTTATGTAGGTAAACCTGTGCCATGGTGGTTTGTTGCACCTATCAACCCATCACCTAGGTATTAAGCCCAGCATTTTCTCTAATGCTCACCTCACCCCCAGACTCCCCTGACAGGCCCCAGTAAGTGTTGTTCCCCTCCCTGTGTCCATGTGTTCTCATTGTTCAGCTCCCACTTATAAGTGAGAACACGCAGTGTTTGGTTTTCTGTTCCTGCATTAGTTGGCTGAAGATAAGGACTTCCAGATTCATCCATGTCTCTGCAATGGACATGATCTTGTTCCTTTTTGTGGCTGCATAGTATTCCATGGTGTATATGTACCACATTTTCTTTATCCAGTTATCATTGATGGGCATTTGGGTAGATTCCACGTCTTTGCTGTTGTAAATAGTGCTGCAATGAACATACGTGTGCATGTATATTTATAATAGAATGATTTATATTCCTTTGGGCATATACCCAGTAATAGGATTGCTGGGTCAAATGGTATTTCCGGTGCTAAATATCTGAGGAATTGCCACACTGTCTTCCACAGCGGTTGAACTAATTTACATTCCCACCAACAGTGTTAAAGCATTCCTATTTCTCCACAACCTTTCCAGCATGTTTTGTTTTTTGTTGTTGTTGTTGTTGTTTGTTTGTTTTCTGAGACGGAGTCTAGCTCTGTTGCCAGGCTGAAGTGCAGTGGTGCGATCTCGGCTCACTAAAACCTCTGCCTCCAGGGTTCCAGCGATTCTCCTGCTTGAGCTTCCCAAGTAGCTGGGATTACGGGTGCCTGCCACCACGCCCAGCTAATTTTTTGTATTTTTAGTAGATATGGAGTTTTGCCATGTTGGTCAGGCTGGTCTCGAACTCCTGACTTCAGGTGATCCGCCCACCTCAGCCTCCCAAAGTGTTGAGATTACAGGTGTGAGCCATCGCCTCCAGCCATCTGTTGTTTCTTGACTTTAAAAAATTGCCATTCTGACTGGCATTAGATGGTATCTCATTGTGTTTTTCATTTGTATTTCTCCAATGATCAGTAAAATCCTTCCATTCTTAATGTACTAAGTTTTAAAAAATAAAATATTAAATGTATATTTACATATAATTTTTTTCACCATATATTTCAGCATCATTTTTTAAATTTATATTTGACCTATCGATATATTACACGATCTTAGAGGATTCCTGGATATTAAGCCATTTTTACATTTCCATGGGGGACCCATCCAGTTGATGTTTATTGTATTAAGCAACTTAAATAGTAGCTGGCTGAACTGATTAAGGTTTTGTACTTATATTTGAAAACTATATTGTTTTACACACGGTTCTTTGTGCTTTTTCATATTTTGTTCTCCTAGTTGTCCTGGTTTTATGATATGACCACAGTTTCCAGCTTCTTCTTTGCTTTGAAATTGATTATGTGGTATTAGAATGAAAAATTACTTCGAAATTTTTTAAAAATGATCTATAATGTATTTTACATTTATAGTCAGATTTTTGGTGGAAATTTTTGGATAAAATTTCTTACTTCTTCCTTGATTATTGACTTATTTGTGATTTCCACTACTTGTTCAGTCAAATTTATTGACACACTATCTTAGAATGTTATCCTCACTACTATATTTCTAAGCATATTAGGAAATGTATGTGTATGATTGCTTTGTAATTTCTAATTTTCTCTGTATTCATTTTATATGTGGTTTCTCATTTATACTTTGTGTTTTTTCTATTCTTTCCTTAATTTAATCTGTCTAAAATGTCAATTTTTTATTTTTAATAAAATCTGTTATTGAATTTATCAATATACTGCTTTCTATTGCTTTTATTTTAAAAGTGTTTTTGCTTTTATACTTTATTTGAACTTTCTCATTTTAACAAACTGGATAACTTAACAAACTATCCCCCAAAACTGATATGATTAAGCAGTAAAAAAATAAGCAGAGTTATCAATGTCTCTAACAATACAGTTAATATTCTCCAGCTACTATTATGTAGAATTTTACCCCAAAGAAACAGAAAATACACATTCTTTAAAGCACATGTAGGACATTCTAAAAATAGACCATACATTAAACCATAAATGAAGTCTCAATAAATTCTGAAGGTAAAGATGTAGATGTTGACTAGTGATCCTCTAGCAAGCTCTGCCATGATTGTGACTATGGCTACCCAAAATCCAGGCACACACTTCTTCCCTACACACACTTTCACCCTCTGCCTAAGTGAAGCAATCCGAAGACCTGTCCAGTTACTACATCGAGCTCCCAGTCAGAATCTTTGAGAAATGTGCATTTTTCTCCTTTAGGTTCTTCATGTCTGCAAGACTAAAAATATGAGGACTGTAGGTTCCAGTTTGTCCAAGAAAGTCTCTGTTAGTGACTGTGTCCCTGCCTCCTGTTTGGTAAATTGGTTTAGGTTTTTCATGTTTTAGTGAAGTACTGCCATTATTAGGAAGTACATCAAAATAAGCCAAGAAGGGATGAGTAGATGAGCATTGATCCTCTCTGAGTGTGTAACTCAGTCAATAGAGAAAGTTCAACTTTAAGTGTGAGTGAAAACCAGTAATGATCTATCCTTTTTGTCCTGAGCTTCAGATGTGTGTATGTGTGTGTACAGCTCTATATAATTCTATCACATGTGTAACTTCATGTAACCACCTCCATAATCAGAATACAGAGCTGTGTCACCACAAAAATTTCTTGAGCTACCCCTTTATATTCACACCCACCCTCCCTCATCTTTTACCTCTGACAATCACTAATCTGCTCTTCTTCACTGTGGTACCTCTCTGTAATTGTCTTCTTTTGTGAATATCATATATTTGTGAACTGCTTTTTTATTTTGCAATAAATCATTTTGACAGAAATTTTTTTTTAAAAAAGGTAAATACTTAATGAAAAATTAAGTAATTTCCAAACCTCAATAAACCCAACAATGACTGTATATTGCACAAAATATATGTTAACATTTGCCAACTACCATGTGAGCTGCAGTGTTACAAGAGACCATCAGAAAAGCTAAAGGCAAAAGTCTGGTGAAGCACCAGCATCAACTTCAAAAATTAGAAATTATTCTAAGGTAAAAAAGGATTTACACATCACTCAGTGAAACGCAACCGTTCATTTGGATCAAATGACTGATTCATTTGAAACTTATTTCACTCATTTTCAACTACAAGATTTTTTGTGTGCATATTAAAAGTAAAGTACTAGTTTTACAATGTGTTGGCTCTATTAATAGGAGAATGTTGCAAATAATAACATTCTTGCAAATGTTATACCAAGCTCATTATATATTTCAAATAGAGAAACATTTAGATTCAAATATAATTCATTTTTCAATCAGTTTGTGGAATCAAAGTAAAATTTCTTGAAATTCCTTCAATCAAAAATTAAATATCTATGATCATTGTGAATTTTACTGTTAAATCCTATTTAAATATTCGACATTAAAGAGAAAACTGTTTTTGAAATAATATTGTTAATAGAAATTTTGATGAAGTGAAATGCTAAAAAAAGATTATTTTTAAATTATGAAGTTTATGAAGCAGAAATATTTTTTGACCTTGTTTTGGAGCATAAGTAATTAATAAATACAGTTCTAACAAGTTATTATATTTTACTATCCAAAAGAGAAACAATGGTTGTGAAATATATATATATATTTCACACACACATATATATACATTTCAATGAATGAATGTATACATATGAATGAATGAATGTGTATATATACACACACAGATGTATATATTTAATATATTTATTGCTATTGTAGCTGAACTACAAATTTTTTATGATAAATCTAATTTTAAATACAAAAGGATAAAAAACTTTCACTACACAGTTTTTTCTCTTTGTTGCCCACTATTATTCAGATTTTGGAAATGTTTGAATGATGGTGTAAATCAACCTATGTGTTCTACAATAGTGTCAACCAGTCTGTAAACAAGTTCTCTAAACATGGGGTATATTCTATTTGAAATAAGCTGAAAATCTGTAATCAACATATTCAACAAATGCTAAACAAGTGCTAAAGATCTTATGTTTATAGATCTTAACAAATAAAATCATTGAAAACAAAGTTGAAATCATCTAAAGTCCTGTCCAGTTACTGCATCCAGATCAAAGTGGCAAGCAAGGAAAGAGCTGAACAAATTAAATGATGAGTGTTCAAACAATAGATTGGATTTAATTTTTAATATTTATAATCATGTTTTGAATTATCTAGATATGTAAAAAAATATGTTTGTAGAGCTTTTTTTATTTTGGATAAATGTATATTCTATACCAGAATAGAACGAAAGTGAGAATTATTATAACTTGGTGCCATTTCAAAGCATTCAAAAGAATCATAAATAGAGATGATTTATTCCATTTTTTTTGTCTTGTAAAGATTTGTCAAATAAGAAAGGTTATGCCAGATAATAAAAATCTTTGGGATAATGTTTTCATAAAATATTAGAATAATCTCCATTTAGTGGAATTTTCTTTGAGCAAGCATGTATTTCAGCACCTAAGGAAATATTTTTTTCAATTAAAAGTAAGTTTTATAGAGAAAAGTCAAAGGTGTCGACAGTTTCAAATGTAGTAACCACAAAATGCATATTTGAAGAGATGTTATACAATTTTATTTTTAAGAGACCAGTAAGTCTATATTTTTAAATGTTCTGTAAAAAAGCAAATTGTTAGAGTCTATGAGGAACATTTTAGAAAGTTTGGAAACAAACTAAACAAATTATCAATAACACTGACATTAGTAAAATTTTAAAGACACCTTTTGTCCTATACAGTCTCATAATTTGATATGATTAACTTATACATTTGACTTTGAATCAGACCTACCAAACTTTGAGGAAATAGTGGTTCCAGGCTTGAATAAAAAAGGTCCCATATATTTTGTAAAGTTAGTGTATTCTTGGTTTCCAAACAAAATATAAAGTCCATGCAAATAAAAAAGCAAAAATTTATAGATCCATGTTACTTATGAATATAGAAGCAAAAATGTTAAATAAAATATAACGAACTAAATATAATAGTGTGTTTAAAATATTGTCACACAAGAATGCCCACTTTCACCACTTCTATTCAATATAATACTAGAAGTCCTAGCCAGAGCAATCAGTCAACAGAAAGCAACAAAAGGCATCCAAATTGGGAAAGATCAATGTACACAAATCAGTAGCACTGCTGTAACCAACAGCAACCAAGCTAAGAATCAAATCAAGAACTCAATCCCTTTTACAATAGCTGCAAAAAATAAATAAATTAATTAATTTAATTAAATTAAATACTTTGGAGTATACTTAACCAAGCAGGTGAAGGGTCTCTACAAAGAGAACTACAAAACCCTGCTTAAAGAAATCGCAGATGACACAAACAAGTGAAAACACAGCCCATGCTCATGGATAGAGAGAATCAATATTGTGGAAATGACCACACTGCCCAAAGCAATCTACAGATTCAATGCAACGCCCATCAAAATACCATCATCATTCTTTGCAAAACTAGAAAAAAATTACTAAAATTCATATGGAACCAAAAAAGAACTCACATAGTCAAAGCAATACTAAGCAAAAAGAACAAATCTGGAGGCATCACATTACTGGATTTCAAATTATATTACGAGGCTACCATTACCAAAAC